>NW_012132920.1:0-300000 GCF_000001405.40 Homo sapiens | reverse complement strand
AAATAACCACAGGATGGGTTCAGAGATTACCTGAATCTACTATAAGATGAGCTAAAACTCCACTGATCACCTGATCTGCATAACCCCTACTCTGACTGTTGAGTCACAGTGGTGTTCAGTGCCACCAGGAATTAGTGTCAATTCAGAGCCAGTGTCCAGCAGTCACCAAAATGTCTGATTATTTACTTTTCCCTAATGCTTAGTCATCTTGTTAAAAGGCCATAAGCTCCTCTGGGGAAGGCTGAGAAAGAGATTAACATTATAAATTTTTGGCAGTGTCATGGGTTTCTTCCTCAAGGGGACTTGGCTTTTATCCCTTACAGGAAGAATAAAGGCCTTACTTTGCCTCTGATAATTGATTGAGGGATCATGATTCTCTGTTTTTCAGTATTAGAGTTAGACTTTTATTCACTTGACCTACAACTTTTTCTGCTTATACAGATCAAGTAAGAATTTAGTTGGCTTCCTATCTATTTCACTTCTAGGAGCACCACGATCAACTAGCCAATGCCATAGGTCTCCACGAGTGAGACTATTCTAGTGGCTGCTGTGACATTGCTGTCCACTGTGTCAGCTAGGCCCACCTGGATTTTGGTGGCTGAATGCTGGTACTTGGCTCCTGCCAACCTGGGATCCAGTTACTCCCATTACATTTAGTTTTCCCAATTCAGTGACTCTAGTTTCCACTAAAAATCTTGCCTATAGAGAACAAACACATCAAGGATGCTGAGGCTCTCCTCAAAAATTTATTTCTCACCATTTTGGTGAAAGGTATGTCTTTTGAAGCCTCCCAGGGCATATAAGTAGGTCTTAAATGGAAAATCCACTCTAACATCCCAATGTCTTTAAGCCTTTAATCCCTTCTTCGGCATTAAACCAAGGCACACCTGGCATTTATATTTGAACTCCCTTGCTGTGGGCCACCTTTTGATCCCTTTTTGGGTCCACCAACCAAACTGTTAGAGTCCTTTCTGACTCCCCAAGCTACAATATTAAATGCAGAGTCTCTGCTTAGTGGGCCCATATCAATAAACTTACCCTGATCTAACTTTCTCTCATTAGCCCACACACTTACCATTCATTTCTGCACATATAGCCTGGATTTTTGTCTGTATAAATAAGAAAACACAACTAATTCCCTTGGAGTGTGTCACGCCTCTTCATGGGTCACACTTTCTACCTCGCCTTTAGAGTCCTGTTGTGATGTGAGTGTAGTTATGGGGTGGGTCCTGAAAAAAATCAGCTGTGTTTTGCATGGCAACTACCTCAGGGGGCCCATTGCAGTCACCTCAGGCTATACAGTGTTAATTGCCCCAAATAGGTTCAGAGCAGCCATTCCTACTGGGCTGGAGAGTTGTTTCTACTGGCAAAGAAGATTCATCAGAATGTAGGGGCTTAACGATCCCAGCTTCATCAGAGTCTTGCCCCACATACCCATTCCAACTTTCAGGATGCTCTCAGGGCAGCTATTAACTTAAGACAAAGCAGGCTTCCAAAGAAAAAAAAATAGCAGGGATAAAGCAGAGACTTACACAAAGATTGATGAGGCTAATTCTCCAACAAGATGTAAGTTGAACTGAACTGAAACATCAATCAACTGAATCTAATTAACTTTTATAGAATAATTCATTGAACGACAGCAGAATATACATTCTTCTCAAGCTCACATTGAAACACTCACAAAGGCCACATGTTTGGCCATAAAACACACCTTAACATATTTAACGTATTTGTTTAAATAAAAATTAAATATAAAATATAAACTCAGATGACAATAGAATTAAAATAGAAATTAACAACAGAAATATACCACAAAAATCCTAAAATGCTTATAAATTAACCTCAAATAACACATGGGTCAAGAAGGAGCCTCAAGAAAAATTTTTACAAAATATTTTGACCTAACTGAAAATGAGAATTCAAATTATCAAAATATGTAGAATGCAATGAAAATAATACTTAGAGAAAAATTTATAGCATTAAATGCATATATTACAAAGGAAGAAGATTTAAAATCAATAATCTAAGCTTCCACATTTGGGAATTATGAATAGAAAAAAAAATTTAAGCCTAAAGCAAACAAATAAGCAAAATTAGAGCAGAAGTCGATGAACATAAAAAATGGAAAATAAGAGAAAATAAAATCAGAAGCTAGTTCTTTAAAGAGATCAATATAATTGATAAACTTCTAGTCAGACTGAGAAAAATACAGAGAAGACCAAAATTATTAATATCAGAAATTTAAGATATGTCATCAGCAGGAATCCCTTCGATGTGAAAAGATAGTAAAATAATATGATGAATAACTCCGTGACCCCGAATTTGATAACTTATATGAAATGGGCCAATTACTTGCAAAATGCAAACTACCAAACTCATCAAAGACGAAATAGATAATCATTACAGGTCAATATGTATAAAAAATAAATCAGGAGTTAATAACCTTCCAAGAATGTCAGCAGAAGGATCAGATAGTTTCACTGGTGCATTGTATCACACATTTAAGACAGAAAATACAATAATTCTCTACAATCTCTTCTGGAAAATAGAAGCAGAGGGAACACTTTCTAATGCATTCTATGAGGCCAGCACTTCTCTGATACTAAAATCAGATAAATCATTATTAGTAAGAGTAAGAAAAACTATAGACTAATATCTCTCAGGAACAAATACACAAATCCTCAAAAAATATTTGTAACTTGAATCCAACAAGGTATAAAAGAATTGTATTCCACAACCAATTTATTTCAGATATGCAAAGCTGGTTCAACACTGGAAAACAATGCTATCTACCACATCAACAGGTAAAAAAATAAAATTTATATGACCATATCTGATATGGTTTGGATTTGTGTCCCTACTCAAATCACATGTCAAATTTGAGGAGGGGCCTGGTGGGAGGTGATTGGATCATGGGGGAAGATTTCCCCCATGCTTTTTTTGTTGTCAGAGTGAGTTCTCATGAGATCTGATGGTCTACGGGTATGTGGCACTTTCCCCTTTGCTCTCTCTCTCCCGTCACCACAGTAAGATGTGCTTTCTTCCCCTTTGCCTTCTGCTATGATTATAAGTTTCCTGAGGCCTCCCTACCATGCTTCCTGTTAAGCCTGCAGAACTGTGAGTCAATTAAACTTCTTTTCTTCATAAATTACCCAGTCTCAGGTAGTTCTTTATAGCAGTGTGAGAACAGACTAATACAGAAAATTGGTACTGGGAGTGGGGCATTGCTATAAAGATACCTGAAAATGTGGAAGCGGCTTTGGAACTGGGTAAAGAGCAGAGGTTGGAACAGTTTGAAGGGCTCAGAAGAAGAAAGGAAGACGTGGGAAGGTTTGGAACTTCCTAGAGACTTGTTGAATGGTTTTGACCAAAATGCTGATAGTGATATGAACAACGAAGTCCAGGTGGAGGTGGTCTCACATGGAGATGAAGAACTTGTTGGGAATTGGAGTAAAGGTCACTGTTGCTATGCTTTAGCAAAGAGACTGGTGGTATTTTGCCCCTTCCCTAGAGACCTGTGGAACTTTGAACTTGAGAGAGATGATTTAGGGTATCTGGTGGAAGAAATTTCTAAGCAGCAAAGCATTCAAGAGGTGACCTGGCTGTTTCTAAACATGTACAGTCATATGCATGAACAAAGAGATTATTTGAAACTGGAACTTACATTTAAAAGGGAAACAGCACAAAAGTTTGTAAAATTTGCAGACTGACCATGTGATAGAAAAGAAAAACCCATTTTCTGGGGAGAAATTCAAGCCTGCTGCAGAAATTTGCATATGTAAAGAGGAGCCAAATGTTAATAGCCAAGAATGGAGTCTCCAAGGCATTTCAGAGACCTTTACAGCACCCCCTCCCATCACAGGCCTGGAGGCCTAGAAGGGAAAAATGATTTAGTGGGCCAGGCCCAGGGCCTAGCTTCTCTGTGCAGCCTTGGGACATGGAACCCTGCATCCCAGCCACTCCAGCACCAGCCATGCCTAAAAGGGGCCAAGGCGCAACTCAGGCAGTGGCTTCAGAAGGTGCAAACCCCAAGCCTTGGCAGCTTCCATATGGTGTTGAGCCTGCATGTGTGCCAAAGACAAGAATTGAGGTCTGAGAACATCTGCCTTGATTTCAGAGGACGTATGGAAACACCTGGTGTGCAGGCAGAATTCTGCTGCAGGGGTGGAGCCCTCATGGAGAATCTCCACTGGGGCAGTGCAGAGGGGAAATGTGGGGTTGGAGCCCTTACACAAAGTCCCCACTGAGGCACTGCCTAGTGGAGTTGTGAGAATAGGGCCACCATCCTCCAGATCCCAGAATGATAGCTCTACCAACAGCTTGCACTGTGCACCTATAGAAACCAAAGGCCCTCAACACCAGCCCATGAAAGCAGCCACAGAGGCTGTACCCTGCACAGCTCCTCCCCAGGGGTGGAACTGCCCAAGGCTTGGAGAACCCACCCCTTACGTCAGTGTACCCTGGATGTGAGACATGGAGTCCAAGGAGATTATTTTGGAGTTTCAAGATTTAATGACTGCCCTGCTGGGTTTTGGACTTGCATAAGGCCTGTAGCCCCTTTGTTTTGGCCAATATCTCCCATTTGGAATGGGAGCATTTACCCAATGCCTGTACCCTCATTGTATCTTGGAAGTAACTAATTATTTTATTTTATTTTTACAGGCTCATAGGTGGAAAGGACTTACCTTGTCTCAGATGAGACTTTGGACTTCGGACTTTTGAGTTAATGTTGAAATGAGTTAATACTGGGGGACTGTTGAGAAGGGATAATTGTATTTTGAAATGTGAAAAGGACATGAGATTTGGGAGGGGCCAGGGGCAGAATAATAGGGTTTGGATTTGTGTCCCTGCCCAAATCTCATGTCGAATTGGAGGAGGGGCCTGATGGTGATGGGATCATGGGGTCGCCCTGGTAAGACGTGCCTGCTTCCCCTTCTCCTTCTGCCATGTTTTTAAGTTTCCTGAGGCCTCCCAGCCATGCTTTCTGTTAGGTCTGCAGAACTGTGAGTCAACGAAATCTCTTTTCTTCATAAATTACCCAGTCTAAGGTAGTTCTTTATAGCAGTGTGTGAATGAACTAATACAATATCTATTGATGCAGAAAAAGCACTAGACAAAGTCCAGTACCCATCCTTGATATAAACTTTCAGCAAATAGGAATAGAGGATAACAGCTTCAACTTGACAAGGAACATCTGCAAAAAACCTACAGCTAACATCATACTACTTCGTGGTAAGAAACTGGAAGCTTTCCCCCTAAGTTCAGGGACAAGGCAGGGAGATCTTTTCCCTCCACTCCCATTTAACATTATACTATAAGTCATAGCTAATACAATAAGACAAGAAAGGAAGTAAAAATTGTGTAGGTACAGAGGGAAGAAATAAATCTGTCTTTATTGATTGTGTTAGTTTCTTATTGCTGATGTAGCAAATTATGACAAAGTCCATGGTTTAAAATGATACATCCTTATTCTATTACATTTCTGGAGGCTAAAAGTCCAAAATTAGTCATATAGGGTGTCATGACTTGAATGTGTACCCCAAAGTTCATGTGTTGGAAACTTATTCCCCAATGCAACAATGCTGAGGTGGGAACTTTAGGAGGTGATTAGGTCATGAGGGTTCTTCCCTTATGAATGAATTAGTGCCATTATTGTGGCAGTGGGTTAGTTATTGTGGGAGTGGGTTCCTGATGAAATGATGAGTTTGGCTTCCCTCTTAGCTCTCTCACCATCTCTCACCTTTTGCCTTCTGCCATGGGTGACATAGCCAGAAGGCCCTTACCAGATACTGTCACCTTGATATTGTACTTCCAAGTCTCCAGAACTGTGAGAAATATAATTTCTTTTCTTTATAAATTACTCAGTTTGTGGTATTTTGTTATAGCAACCCAAAACAGACTAAGACATAGGACTAAAATCAAGGTGTTATTGGGGTTGGTCACTTGCAGAGTGGAGTCTGTTCCTTGCTTCTTTCTGCTTCTGGTGGCTGCTTGCATCCCCTGAAGTGTGGCCGCATCACTCCAATCACCATTTCTCTCATCACATTGCCTTCTCCTACCCATAATCAAAGCTACTTCTGCATCCCTTTTATAAGGACACTTGCAATTATATTTCAGGCACTCTGGACAATCTCAGACAATCTCCCCATCTTTTAACCACATGTGCAATATCCCTTTTGCCACGTAACATAATATTCACTGGTTCCAAATATTAGGACTTGGTTAGCTTTGGTAATTATTATTCAGTCTATTGCATACACAGATGACATGATTATTTATGTATAAAATCCTAAGAAATGGTCAAAACAAAGTCCTGGTATTGATGTGATTACAGCAAGATCACAGGATAAAAGGCCAATATTCAACAGTCATTTGTTTTCCATACACCAACTATGGACATTTGAAATTCAAAATTATACTCACAAAAACATTTACAATGGCACCAAAAATGACATTCTTAGGTAAACAGCTAACATAATATGTACAAAATCTATATGCAGGAAACTACTAAACTCTGATGACAGGAATCAAAGAATATTTAAATACATTGAGAGATTTATTTAGACAAAAGAGCCTTTGGGATCCAGGTGGGAGGTTGTGAAACCCTGGTCTGGCTTAAAACCTAGGAGGTTGAGGAAAGGGGAGGCCTGCATCTAGGTGGCAGGCTTGCTGACTGTTGGTGCAGGCAATAGGTCTGGAATCAGCCTCATCTCCTTGTGGGCTCGGCTATAAGCCTGTTTGGCCTTGATCCTGCTACCACAGTCATCTGCCAAAGGACTGGGGTGGAGTCACGGGCACTGCTCCCTCTGGTGATGGGCTCGCTGACCTCAGCCTGGGCAGTGAACTCTGAAGCAGTCCTGTAACTCAGCCATAGACCCTCTCAATTGTGTTTTGAGAGCATTCTTGCCCAAGCACAGTCTTGCCAGGAGATACAGCTATCTGTGCATTCAGAGAAGGTCTACCAATCTCAGACCCACAGAAGGTCCTGTAATAGTTTTGTAACTTGGCTCTAGGCCTTCTCATCTGTGAGCTGAGAGCAGTTTTTCCCACTCAAAGACCCCCCAGGAGGCATGCTCAATCTTTCACACCCAGGGAGGCAGGCTTGTTTACCTTGATACCACAGTAGACTCCAAAATGGCCCTGTAACTCTTCTCCAGTCACTCTTACCTGTGCAGTCATGCCTGCCCAGGGACTTACCCAGTGACCCAGGAGGAGCTATCCCAAGGACCTAGAAGGATCCGCACCGGTATACACACCTGGTAACAACCAACTATGGACCCTGAGTAGACAGACACTTGTCCCATCACCAGCCCTACTGACCAAAGTCATGGAGGTATAATCCATGCCAGCTTGAGCACCTGGGAAGAGGCCCACTAAACATGGTCCCCACTGTGGGCCCAGCAGCAGTTGTAACTCAGCTCTGACTCCACTTGACTGCAATCTCAGAAGTAATCCCATTAGCCTAGGGACCCAACAGAAGGTCTTGACCTTCTGTCTAACAGCAGTAGCATACTTACTCTTCTCCAGAGCACATGGAACATTCTTTAAGATAGATCATATGCTGGGATATAAGACAATTCTTAGCAAATTTAAGAGTGTTGAAATCATATCAAGTATCTTTTCTGACCACAGTTGTATGAAATTAGAAATCAATAACACAAGAGATTTTGGGAAATTCACAAATATGTACAAATTAAACAGCATACTCCTGAAATCAATGGCTCAAATAAGAAATCAAAAGAGAAATTTTAAAGTATCTTGAGACAAGTAAAAATAGAAACACAACATACCAAAACGTATGGGATGCAGGAAACACAGTTTTAAGAACAAACGTTATAGCAATAAATGCCTATATTAAGAAATAAGAATAATCTCAAATATACAAGCTACTTAGCCCAAAAAAAACCAGAAAAGCAGCACAAACTCAGTCCAAAGTCAGAAAATTAAAAAATATATATTAGAATAAAAAGAAATAAAATAGAGACTAGAAACACAATAGGAAATATCAACAAAACTAAAGTCGCGTTTTTGAAAAGATAAGCAAAGTTGAGAAAACTGTAGTTAGAGTAACCAAGAACAAAAAAGATGGCTCACAATAAAGAAAACGTAACGAAAGAGGAGGCATTACCACTGATACCACAGAAATACAAAGGATCATAAGAGACCACTATGAACAACTATACACCAACAAATTGAATAACCTAGAAGAAATGAATAAATTCCTAGAAATGTACAACCTGCAAAAAGTTAATCACGAAGAAAGAGAAAATATGAACAGAACAATAATGAGAAAGGAGATTAAACCTGTAATCTAAAACCTCAAAGAAAAGAAAATCTCAGGACTAGATGGCTTCAAGGTGAATTCTATCAAATATTTGAAGAAGAATTCATGGCAATTCTCCTCAAAATCTTCCAAAAAGTTGAAGAGTGGGAAGGACTTCCAAACTAATTTTATCAGGCCAGCATTATCTTTATACCAAAGCTAACTAAGAACACTACAAGAAAAGAACATTACAGGACAAAATCACTGATGAACATAGATGCAAAACTCCTCAACAAAATGTTAGCAAACCAAATTCAACAACACATTTAAAGGATCATACACTATAATCAAGTAGGATTTATCCTGGGATGCAAGGATGTTTCATAATGTGCAAAACAATAATTGCGATATACCACATTAACAGAATAAAGGATAACAATCATATGATCACCTCCATAGATTCAATAAAAGCATTTTACAAAATTCAACATAAATTCATGATACAAACTTCACAAATTACATATGGAAGAACTGTGCCTCAATACAAGAAAGGCCGTATATGACCATCCCACAGCTAACATCATACTCAGTGATGATAGCTGAAAGCTTTTCTTTTAAACTCAGGTACAAGAAAAAGATGCCCACTCTTGCCACTTCTGTTCAACATAGTACTGGAAGTCTTAGCCACAGCAATTAAGAGAGAAAAGTAAGTAAAAGGAACCCAAATTGGAAAGAAAGACATTAAATTATCTCGGTTTGAAGATGACATGATCTTAAATATTGAAAACTCTAAAGACTCCATGAAAAAACTGTTAGAACTAATAACTAAATTCAGTAAAGTTTCAGGATACAAAATCAACATACAAAAGTCAGTGGGTTTTCTATACATCAACAACCAACTATCCAAAAAATTAAGAAAACAGTCCCATTTACAATAGCATCAAAAACGATAAAATAGTTAGAAATGCATTTAATCATGCATGTGAAATATCTAGATATGTATGCTGAAATGTATAAAACACTGATGAAAGAAATTAAAGGAGACACACATAACTGGAAAGATAGCTCATGTTCACTAATTGAAAGAATTAACATCGCAAATAGATCCATACTACCCAAAGTGATATACAGATTTGATGTAATCCCTATCAAAAATCCAATGACATTTTTCACAGAAATAGAAGAAACAATCTTAAAATTTGTACAGAATCACAAAAGACTCTGAATAGGCAAAGCAATTTTGAGAAAGAGCAACAAAGCTGTTAAGAATTATACTTCCTGATTTCAAACTATATTGCCAAGGTACAGTAAATAAAAACAGTATGATACTAGCATAAAAACAGGCTCTTAGAACAGAATAGAGAGCCCCAAATTAAATGCCTTTGAGAAGAGTCCTAAGAATACACGATGGGTAAAGGATACTCTCTTTAATAAATGATGGGAAAACTCCATAACCACATGCAAAAGAATAAAATTGAACCATTATTTTATACCAAATGCAAAAGTTAACTTGAAATAGGATTAACAACTTATATGGGCCAGGCGCAGTGGCTCATGCCTGTAATCCCAGCATCTTGGGAGGCCGAGGCAGGTGGATAACCTGAGGTTGGGAGTTCGAGACTAGCCTGACCAACATGGTGAAACCCCATCTCTACTAAAAGAAAAAAAAAAATTAGCCAGGCGTGGTGGTGCATGCCTGTAATGCCTGTAATCCCAGCTACTCAGGAGGCTAAGGCAGGAGAATCACTTGAACCTAGGAGGCAGAGGTTGTGGTGAGCTGAGATCACACCATGGCACTCCAGCCTGGGCAACAAGAGGGAAACTTCATCTCAAAAAAAAAAAAAAGAAAACTTACATGTAAGACTTGAAACCGTGAAATTCCTAGAAGAAAAAAGAGAGAAAAAGTTTCTGTACATTGGCCTTGGCAATATTTTTTGGATATAACACCAAAAGCACATAGCATGAAAGCAAAAATAAATAAATGGGAATACATCACACTAAAAATCTTGTGCACAGCAAAGAAAACAATCAACAAAACAAAAAGCCAAGCTACAGAATGGGAGCACATATTTAAAAACTATATATCTGATAATGGGTTAATATTCAAAATACTGAATACACATACAACTCAATAGCAAATTAATAATAATAATGATGATGATGATAGTAACGTATTGAAAAATGGGCAAATGCCCTGAACAGACATTTTTTCAAAGAAGACATACAACTGTCCAACGGGTGTATGAAAAGCTGCTCAACATCATGAATCATCAGGGAAATGCAAATCAGAACCACAGTGAGACTGAGACATCACCTCACACCTGTAAGGATGGCTATTATCCAAACGACAAGAACTAACAGGTGTTGGTGCGGATGTGGAGAAAAGAGAATCCTTGTACACTGTCAGTGGGTATATAAATTGATATAGTCAATTTATATAGAAAACATTGTTAGTTCTGCAAACTATTAAAAATAGAACTACTATATAATCCAACAATCCTATACCTAGGTACATATCCAAAGAAAAGGAAAAGGATAGTGAAAGGAAATAAAATATCTTGAAGTGCTATCTACACCCTCATGTTTATTGCAGCATTATTTACAATAGGGAAGACATGGAATAACCTGTGTCCATTGACAGATGAGTGGATCAAGAAACTATTGTCTATATACACATATATATGATGTGTATATATACATATATATATGATGTATATATACACACATATATACAATGTGTATATATACATATATATGATGTATATATACACATATATATGATGTATGTATATACATATATATGATGCATGTATATACATATATATGATGCATATATACACACATATATACAATGAAATATTATCCAGCCATAATAAAAGAAGAAAATCCTGCCATTTGTGACAACATAAGTGAATCTGGAAGACATTATGCTATGTGGAATAAGCCAGATACAGAAAGGCAAATACTGTATGATCTGACATATATGAATCTAAAAAGTGCAACTCATAGAAGCAAGGAGTGGAACAGTGCATGCCAGTGTCTGAGGGGTGGGAAAAATGGGGAGATGTTGATTTAAGGGTACACACTTTCAGTTATAAGATAAATAATTGCTGAGTATCTAATATACCACATGATAATTATAGTTAATAATATTATTTACTAGAAATTTGCTAAGAAAAAGTATCTTAAGTGTTATCACAACACACACACACACAAAGGGTAACTCTGTGGTGATGGATAGGTTGATTAATTTGATGGTGGTAACCATTACACAATGAACGTGTATAGTATATGCACATCACATTGTACATCTTGAATGTATATTATTTTTATTTGTCAGTTATAGTTCAATATAGCTGAAAGAAAGAAAAAAAGTAACTCAAAATGAATCATAAACCTAAATGTAAATAGCAACACTTTGAAACTTTTAGAGGAAAATAGAGAAAATGTAGGTAACCTTGGGTTTGGCAATGAGTTTTTCAACACAACATCAAAAACATGGTGGATGAAAGAAAAATAGGTAAGTTAAACTGTATTAAAATTAAAAGCTTATGCTCTGCCAAAGACATTGCAAGATAATAAAAAAATAAGCCTCAGACTTGGAGAAAATATTTGCAAAACATATGTCTGATAAAGAACTTATATCTGAAGCTTACAAAGAACTTTTACAGTTAAACAATAAGAAAGCAAACAACTCAATTAAAATGAAGTTAAAAGATCTGAACAGAAAACTCAGCAAAGAAAATATACAAATGGCAACCTAAAATAATTTTTGAAATCATTTCCCAATTGGGAATTGCAAATTGAAACCACATACAGGTAGACATGCATTAGAGTAGATAAAATCTGCAAAAATTGCACCACCGCATGCTGGAGAGGATTCAGTATGGAGGAACTCTCTTTTGCTGCTGGTGTGAATGAAAAATGGTGCAGTCATTGGAAGATAGTTAGGCAGTTTCTTGCAAAGCTAAACATAGTCTTACTATGTGATTTAGCAATCAAGTTCCTAGTAAGAATTGATTTGAAAACTTATATTCACACCAAAAGCTGCATGAAAGTGTGTTTTAGCAGCTTCATTCATAAACTCCAAAACTGAAAGCAACCGAGGTAAACAAAGTAGAGAGCATCCACACAAGTGACTGTTATTCAGCCATAAAAAGAAATGAGCTATCAAGCCATGAAAAGACATGGTTAAATTTTAAATGCATATTACTAAGTGAAAGAAGCCAATTTGAAAAGGCTACATAGCATATGATTCCAGCTATATGAGGTTCAAAGAAATGCAAAACTATGGAGTCAGTAAAAATAGTTGTTGCCAGAGGGGATGGGAGGGGTAAATAGGTAAAGCGCAGGATTTCTATTTTTTATTTTTGTTGGTACATAGTAGGTATATATATTTATGAGGCGTATGAGATGTTTTGATACAGGCATGCAATAAATAACAATTGCATCATGGGGAATGGGGTATCCATCCCCTCAAGCATTTATCCTTTGTGTTACACACAATCCAATTATACTATTTTAGTTATTTTAAAATATACAATTGAATTATTGATTATAGTCACCCTGTTGTGCCATCGGATGCTAGGCTTTATTCATTTATTCTATTTTTTGTACCCATTAACTTTCACCACATCCCCTCCACCCCCCACCCCACTCCCCTTCCCAGCCTCTGGTAACCATCCTTCTACTCTCTATCTCCATGTGTTTTGATTTTTAGATCCCACAAATAAGTGAAAACATGTGATGCTTGTCTTTCTGAAAGCATACGTTTTTTGAGTGCTGAAACTATCCTAGTGGGCTTAAATCCCCACTCCTTAAGCACGAGGTGCTTCGTTCCAAAGAGTACGGTGTGGAAAGTGGGAAAAAAAGAGCAACTTTACGTGAAGAAGCCTGACAAAGACTCCCGGAGCCAGGTGACCAAGGTCCACATCAGCAGTGGTGGGCCATGCTGGCACCTGCCTAATCAGAGAAAGAATTCACATCAATTCCATTCGAGGGACATCTTACCAAGTATGACCGTTACTCCTCAAATTTATCAGTGTCATCAAAAACAAGAAAACTCAGAGAATCTGTCACCACCAAGAGAGCCTAAGGAGCCATGAGAGGTAAGTGCAGTGTGGAGTTATGAACAGACACCTGGAACAGAAAAAGAAGTTCTACAAAAAATAAGGAAATCTGGGCCAGGGGCTGTGGCTCACGCCTGTAATCCCAGCACTTTGGGAGGTCGAGGCGGGCAGATCATCTGAGGTTGGGAGTTCGAGACCAGCCTGACCAACCTGGAGAAACTCCGTCTCTACTAAAAATACAAAATTAGCCGGGCGTGGTGGCGCATGCCTGTAATCCCAGCTACTCAGAAGGCTGAGGCAGGAGAATCGCTTGAACCCGGGAGGCAGAGGTTGCAGTGAGCCAAGATCGTGCCATTGCACTCCAGCCTGGGCAACAAGAGCGAAACTTTGTCTCTAAATAAATAAATGGAAATCTGAATAAACTGTGGTATTTACTTAATAACAATCATATATCACTATTGATCCATTAACTTTAAGAATGTAAGATGTTAATAATAGGGGGAAAAGGTTATGCTGGCATATGCAAGATCTCTGTAGCTTCGCAATTTTTCTGTAAATTTAACACCATTCTAAACAATAAAGTATTTTTTAAAACACTGCTTTATGCTATTTCTATCTCACCTAAAACAGATCCAAAGTCAAATCACACATAAGTACATCTCATTGGCAGAGCTAAGTCATGCCTGTAATCCAGGGAGCTTAGCAAATGTAGTTTCTGGCTTTCTGGTCTCTGCAGTCCAGGGAGACACAAGGGAAGAAGATTGGAAATGAGCCAGTCCACAAAATTGCCTATCAGTTGTCATATCAAAACTCATTTAACCATTGTCTTTTAGTAGCTATTTAAGCTCTATCCAATTTTTTCTCTGTTACCAACAGTGCATCTAAGTAAATGTTTCTAGAAGGTAAATCAGAGGTCACAGGATTTGTATATTTTAATAGATATCCCCTGAAAAACCATCAATATATATTCCCATGCAAACCACTGCCAACACAGGTAGTTAATACTGGTTCATAATTTTATGAATCCATTGGGTAAAAATATTCCGTATCATTGCTGCTTCAGTTAATGTTTCTCTGATTACAAATGAGGTGACTGTTCTGACCACTTGCATCCACCCTGCGGGACTGGACAGATAAGCTCATAGCGGTTTGTTGCTTACATATGCTCAAGGCCTCGGGGAGGAGGACATTGCATTTTACACAGGGCCATAAGGGACTTGCACATGGGAACACAGAGAGCCTGCAGGGACTCTAGTGAAAAGGAGGCAGGCTTTGAACTAACAAGATGCTGAGGTGCCTCCAGGCCCCATGTGAGGATGTGACTAGCTTTTTTGAATAATTTCATGAGCTGGCAGGGAAGCGAAGCCCATTAGAGTGAGGATCAGGTTAAGTGAAGCTAGTCCAGCTAATGGGGAACTGGCCAGGCAAGGAGCCTTTCCCACTGGCGGGGGTACACGTCTGGTGTGAGCATAAGGACTTAGGATTAGACCCTTGGGGCCTTGTGAGGGTCGAAGGCGTTAAGGTGGGAAATGAAATTTCAGGCCTTACGATACAGTGACCATTTTTTCATAGATTTATCGACTAATTGTATCTCTTTTTCTTTTAATTGTCTGCTTTGTTTTCTAACTAATTTTATTTATGTTATTTCTGGGAACATTTTGAAAAAAAATACTAGTTTTTAACTCTCTTTTTTTGGTTACACATATTAAAAACACTTTTGCCCAGTCTGTTGCTTTTTGCATTAAAAATGCCCTTTGACAACTTTAAATCTGATTTTGACACTGTGCTGCTTAGAGCACTTCACTGACTTTTGAAGCAAATTCTAAAAGTTTTCACCTGGCCGGGTGCCCTGCGTGAGCGGCCTCACTGGCTCTCACTTACACTCCCGCTGTCCCCACTTCTCGCCCGGTTCCTTCCAGCCTCCTCTGCTTCTTCGCATCCCTGCCTCTTCCACCTCTGGGCCTCCTGCTGGAGATTCTCTTCTCTTGGTGCATTCCTGTGAGAGACTGATGGGCATTGAGGGGTGAGCAGTAGCAGTTGTAAAATTGATCAAAGATGGTCATATACCCATTGTGGGGTTTATCACATTTCTTGTATTGTTCTTCACTGAGTTTCCAACAGCCATTTTATTGATTAATGCTAAAATGGAAACATATATCTATGGTTCAAAATTTAAAATATTTAAGAATCTGTAGTAAAAACAAAAACAAAAACACAGTGTTCTTCCCCCAGGGCTGGCGGCGGGGACAGTGAGAGGGTTAGAAGCGCCTGCTGAGAGCCGAGCTGTCCTTGTCTATCTTGCCCTCTCCTGGCCATTGTTTTGCTAAAAGCATTTTTAAGTTCCCTGGTTCTCTTTAATACGTAGTTTATGAGATTTTCCCAGGTCTATTTGTCAAGACCTCATGATATCATCTGTCTTGTTTTTCCTTTGTTGTCGCTTCATATGGATTTTTTATTTCTGCAGTGTTCTTCCTCCTTTCCATGTCCTAATGGACTCTGACAGCTCTGTTCACATCCTCTCCCACTGTCACACGGCCTCTTACTTGAATATCCTGACTCTTCCGTGACAGTTCTCGTTTCAGGTGCAGAAAATGCTGCCTGCTGCATAGAATCTTTGTGCAGAATGAAGCACTGTTGGTGAGAATCCCTCTCTGTGTCCTTGAAAACTGTCTTTCGTGATATCTGCCCCGATGTGCCTCTGTCTTTCCTTTTTTCCCTCCATCAGGTATTTGATGGATGCTGCCAATTGATTGTTTGATGGCAGTTGTTCTCCATGGGCCCAGGCCGTTCTTCTCAATATGACTCATCTTGGAGAAGGGACAGTCAGTAGCCCCATTGGCTGAGCTAGTACTGCCGAGGGGTGGGATGGGAGTGTGGCGGGATGCGGGATAGGGAAAGCCTATCTACGGCTTTCACGTGGGTGTGTTCTTGAGTGCCCTCCAACAAACCTGCTCTTTCTTCGCCCTGGGGACACTCCTTCACCTTCCCCAGACTTAGACTCTTAAGCCCTTCCAGCTTCTCCACTTTCCCGCTGTGTGCCTCTGGCCCTCTTCCATCAGGGAAAGCAGCTGGGGCCGGAACATACAAGTGAACACGGAACCTGCCCTTTTAAGAGCACGTGTATCCTGGCCCAAGGTCTCAGGTGGCAGAGATCAACTTTTTATTGGCTCTCGAGCTCCAGTCAAGATGTTTTGAGAATGTAGCCATTTTCTTGTTATATATAAATTGGATTTTTTGCCCTCTATTTTTTATTGTTGATTTGTGTGCATATACATGAGTGTATAAATATGTGTGTATATACACATATGTGTATACATTCATATACATATACACAAACAAATCAACAACAAAAAATATATATGCACATGTGTGCATATATATATATTTTATATATATATATATATACACACACATACCTAGTAATACATATATATTTGTGGGTTTTGAGAGATGAGATTAAGGAAAATCATCTTTTTTTTTTTTTTTTTTTTTTTTTTTTGAGACAGAGTCTCGCTGTCGCCCAGGCTGGACTGCAGTGGCGCAATCTCGGCTCACTGCAGTCTCCGCCCCCTGGGGTTCACGCCATTCTCCTGCCTCAGCCTCCCAAGTAGCTGGGACTACAGGCGCCCGCCACCTCGCCCGGCTAATTTTTTGTATTTTTAGTAGAGACGGGGTTTCACCGTGTTAGCCAGGATGGTCTCGATCTCCTGACCTCGTGATCCGCCCGCCTCGGCCTCCCAAAGTGCTGGGATTACAGGCGTGAGCCACCGCGCCCGGCCGGAAAATCATCTTTAAACAGAAATCAATTTATACTTTTTCTGAGTAAATTTCTATCCTCATCTTTGAATTTCCCTTACATAATAATGTAGCTGACATAAGATTAAAATGAATCAAAACCACTAAAGTAGTTTTACATACTTTCAAAAAGAGGATGTAGAGCTTTAATATCATCATTTTTTGGAAGAACCTAGGGTCCTTAGCTCAGCATTTATTATCTGTTAGGAACCTGATGAAACCCACTGAGACCTTTCAAATTGGTTCTTCCCCATGTTTTTCTGAGGCTATCTAAATGGGCAAGGAGATAATACAGATAGAAGGAAGTTGCTGTATTGGGAAGGAAACAGGAATTGGAGGCCAGGAAAGGAGCTTAGCTACAGCAGAGACAAGAGGATGATCAAATTCGGTGTTTTTCTATGACCAAGTTAAGAATTGCATTGATGATCTGCAACACTTTTTTTTTCTTTTTCTGTTTTAACACAACAATGTGGACGGAGAATCTTTTCTGTCATGATTATAATCGTTAATATAATTGCTGTGACTATTCAACCTTCAGAAAGCTGGTTTCCATCCAGCCCTGGCTCTGGGGCTCACAGGCTCTGTTGCCACATAAGGAAGCAGCACTGGGCAAGTTCCTGGACCACTTGCACCAGCACCATAGGGAGCATGAATCCACTGGTGATTTGTGGTTGTTCATTTATTTCGTATAATGAGAACAAACTCCCTGCCACATTTAAATAAAAGCCTAATTACATCTCCATTGCTACAGATGCTATTACTACCTTTCTGACTGGCTATAAAAGTTAATGAGTTTTTTATTGCTTTGCAGAGTTTCAAAATAAAATGCAAAGTTTAGAGATAGATGCTATATAAGGTGAGGTCCACTCTGCTTTGCTCTTTTTGAGGGAACCTAGAACCTTAATTTAATGCTTTTCATTTTAGAATATGGCCTGCTTTGCATTATTTCCCATTTTTTTGGACATAAGTATGGCACAGGGATTAAATATAACTAAGCACCATTGAAGAAAATTGCATCAAATCAGCTGAAGATAAGTGAAGAATGTTTTTATGAGCTACACGTTTTTGAAAGAGATACACAAGGCTGACAACCTAATAAAAGTTTAATAATGTGTGCTCACCCATTTGCTGTGCTTTCAAGGTCCTCTGCAACACTGATGTGCTTGGGAACTTCCAGGATGGATTTCCAACTGTTAGTCACCAACTAGCAGAGGTTAGTTGTATTGTGCTGCCAGTCTCATATATGTAAACCTGAATTTGTTTTTATTCCTTCCTGCATTGCTTGATTTTTAAAAATTCAGTTACTCTAGGAAAAGAAAAGCCAAAATAAGCCAGAAATTTATATTTTTTATTCATATTTCAAGAATCATTCTAAAAGCAAGTGATAAAGTTAACTAATTTCTCTCTGCATTTAGTACAGTTACTTTATCTTCCCAAAGAGGAAACCAAGGCCTGGAATCAATGCCATGTAGGCACGTGCAGGTCTGTGTGCTACACTGTGGTGGCACCGCACAGGGCACCTGGAAGCATGGATTTGAGCCTGGTCTGCACAGAAGCCTGCTTTTCAAGAGTTAAACGAGGCAAAATAACTTGGCACAATGCATTTCACATGCAGTGCTTACTGAATACCCTCCATGAAAAAGCTGGCACTATGCCAGGGATGGAAGTTCAGGGGCAAAGACATTGTCCCATCTTCCAGGGACTCTCCCTCCACAGCTGGGGCTTAGGAATCATAATGCAACCAGCAAGTCAACTTCCAGGATTAAGGCTAGAAGAGACACCTAAGTTGAGGAACCACCTGGAGGTCTTCCTGGAGGCTAAGGAGTTGGCTAAGGTTGTAGGCTGAGCTAGTAGTGGTGGGCAGGTGAGTATGGAGGAGCCGAGGCTGCAGGCTGGTGAGCCCCGTTAGCAGAGGCTGCAGGGCCAGCACTGCTGACTATGGATCTGGTGCCAGACCTTGTCTGGGTGGCAGCTGGACCAATGGGCAGGGAGCAGGTGGGGCATGCGTTCTTCGGGCTTCAATCATGTGCCTCAGGGAATGGGGAGACATGGAGGATTTCAAGTGGAGGAATAGTGTATTAGATTTCCTTTTCATAACAGTCACCCTAACTGCCATTTGTACAAGTGTTGATATGTTTCAAAACTAAATGCTGGATACCTATGAGGAGTAAGCCAGACCAGACTTTACAAACTTCAAGACTCAGGAGAGGCAGGAAGAGAAAGTGGTAGTTGATAAGGAACAAACTGGAGATGAGAAATAGGAGTGTGTAGGTCACCCTTCTGCCCCGTTTTTGTCAGGGACAGTGCACCTATCAAGTACCAACCACATTCTGGATCCAACACCCTTTCATTTTGCAATCAGGGATGGGTCAGAGTGTGTTTCCTTGGTCATCTCCATGTTTACCTCCCCACCACCACCTGTGCTTAGACTCAACTGTGCAGAACTGGTAGAAAGATGAACTTATCCTCAGTGAGAAATCCCGGAGCTCACACCTTAAAGCTGCACTCTTGCCAACCCCACACCTACCACCAGAACCTGGAGACCTTCCTTCAAGTGCAACAGTGATTTATTACTCGAATGTTTACTGAAGATGCACACAGACAGGTTCTAAACGATGCTCCTGCTTCGAGGCTATTCTTCCCAATAAAAATGCAGGGTTTTCTCTTGACCTTCCTGAGTGATTGGATCAAAAGACATTTTATATCATTGCCAGAAAATCTGGATTCAAAAACTGTTGAGTGTGTGGGTTGGGGTCAGTGCCTTTCCTTTCTTTTTTAAAAATTATTTTTAAGTTGTGAATACACATAAAAACTCATCATCTTAGTCATTTCTAAGTATATAGTCCAGTGGCATTAAATGCATTCACCTTTTTGTGCAACTATCACCACCAACCATCTATAAAACTTTCATCTTCTTAAAATGAAATTTTGTACCTATTAAATGCAAACATGCTATCCCCAACTCCTTATCCCCTGGCAACCACCATTCTATTTTCTGTCTCCATGAGACTGAGCACTCCAGACACCTCATGTAAGTGGAATCACACAGTGTCTGTTCTTTTGTGCCTGGCTTATTTCACTCAGCATAATGTCCTCGAGGTTCATCCATGTTCTGGCGTATAGAAGATGTCCTTCCTTTCCGAGGTTGGGTAATGTTTCATTATACACATGGACCACATTTTGCTTATCCATTCATCCACACAAGGACACCTGGGTGACTTCACTTTTTGGCTATTGTGAATAACGCCACTATGAACATGGAGTCCCCTGTATTTCTAATCATAGGTATTGGTCTTCGGTTTGGGGACTCATGAAATTCCACTCCTACTTCTCTGTTCTTCTACTGCTCCTCCACATCTTTGTTCTTACCATGAGTGGTATTTTGTTTCTAATAAATGAAAAAGTATGATAGATATGATACTTCATTTAATGAAATGATCAACACAAACCTCGGGCAAATCACTTAATTTCTTCACAATGTGGCCTTCTCATCTGTAAAACAGTAATGTCATTCTTTACCTCTTTGGCTTATGAGGAAGATAAAATGAGACCATGTCTGTAAAGAGCTTAGCACTTAGACTGTCACGTAGCATCTGCCCAGCAAGTTGAGGTTGGTACTTGGTTCCCCACAGTGGGGAGCAGGGATTGAGGCAGAACTCATTCATGTGGGCATAGGGAACAGATAGAGCCACAAGCTCAGAGCCAGAGGGACTGTGAGGGCAGGTGCACCCTTAAAGATCTTTAGGAGAAAAGATTTCCAGCCTTTGTCACTGGGCACTGGAGTTCCCTGATAAATTCAATTGGCAACCAGTAGGGTTTTCAGGGTAGTAGTGCAAGACAGAACCCCCCAAGCCTGGTAAACAAGGGCTCACAATTCTTCAGCTCCTCTGGCCCTGTTACCCTTCCTGGGATGGTTTGAGTAACACAGCCCCAGAAGGGGAATCCACCCTGTGATGGGCTGAATTGCATCCCCCTCACTTTCATGTTAAATCCTAATCCCTAATACCTCAGAGCATGATCTCATCTGGAGGCAGGATTTCAAGTGAGGTCATTAGGATGGACCCTAACCCAATGACTGGTGTCCTTATAAAAAGGGAAATTAATAAGGTCATTAGGGTGGGCCTTAATCCAATATGACCTGGTGTCCTTATAAAAAGGGGAAATTTGGACACAGAGATGCACATACATACAGGGAAGATGATCTGAAGAGACAGAGGGAGAAGGCAGCTGTACTAGTCTGTTTTGTGTTGCTATAAAGGAATACCTGAGACTAGGTAATTTACAAATAAAAGAGGTTTATTTTGGCTCATTGTTCTGCACACTGTACAAGAAACATAGTGCTGGCATCTGCCTCTGGTGAGCCCTCAGGAAGCTTTTACTCATGGTGGAAGGTGAAGGGGGAGCAGGCATGTCACATGGTGAGTGAAAGAGTAAGAGAGAGAGGGAGGAGGCACCAGGCTCCTTTAAACAACCAGCTCCTGCATGAACTCACAGAGAAAGAACTCACTCATCACCACAGGGAGGGCACCAAGCCATTCCATGAGGGATCCGCCCCCATGACCCAAACACCTCCCTCCAGGCCCCACCTCCAACATTGGGGATCACATTTCAACATGGGATTTGGAGGGAAAAAATAACAAAACTATAGCTCAGCCATCTACAAGCCAAGGAGAGAGGCCAGGAACAGATCTTTCCCTCACAGCCCTCAGAAGAACCAACCCTGCCACCACCTTGATTTTGGACTTCCTGCTTCCAGAACTGTGAGACCATACATTTCTGTTGGTCAAGCCACACTCACTATACAGTATTTTGTTATGACAGCCCCAGGAAACTAATGCACACCTCTACAACCCTTTCAGGGACAATGGAAGATGCTGGTGAGAGCCCCTCCAAGCCAGTGGAACCCAAGGAAGCAGAGTGACTGACAAAACAAACTTCTGGCCTTCAAGGACAATTATAAAGTCTGTATAAGCTTCTAAAGTGTGGCTACATTGCATATTAGTAAATATCCTTTTTTTGGCCAAAGTATTTTATTTTACTATTATACTATATGTAATTTGCAAATCGTTTCACAAGAAATTTTTAAAGCAAAGTTATAAAAATGTATATAAAAAAGTACAGAGTTGACAGGAAAATTACTTTTTTTAATAGTTCAAATAAAATCTTTTTGTTTTTCTTATGCTGGCTGAAAATTGTATAATCTATTCTTCCATAGATAGTTGCAATATTACATTTTAATGAGCAGTCTCATAGTTAATTCATTTATTAAAAACAGGTTCACCCTTTGGATGATGAGAATCAATTGCTCGATTTTAAAGAGAACGATAATAAAATTTGTCATATACGACATGAAGTCATAAATAGCTCTTCAAAATTCAGATGTGTTCAGCCTTGTTTCTCTATTAAATTCTTCACAGTTCTAAGTTAAGGAAGTGTCTTTTACTTTAGCCCGACTTCAGAGCTAAAGTCTGGTTTAACTTCAGAGATCCAGAAGTTGTGGCTGTGAGGCATTTTATGGCAGCAGCTGGTCTGATGACAGTGGCTGCTCCCTGGCTATGCTTTTCAACCCCCATAATCACAGAGAGGCATTTTGCTTAAATCTTCAGGTTTTTGCTGTAGCATTGTCATAAAATATTCTCTAGCTTTGTCCACATGCAGCCCATGGAGGTCTGAGACATTTGGTGACAACAGGGAGGCGTGATGAGCTTTGCACGTCTACTTATGGGGACTGACCTGGTGGGCATGCCCTCCACTTCTGTAGGTGCATGAGGGCATCTCCTCTGCAACCATCCAATGCCTAGAAATGGTCCACTTTTTTTTTTTTTTTTAAGACAGAGTCTCGCTCTGTTGCCAAGGCTAGAGGGCAGTGGTGCAATCTTGGCTCACTGCAACCTCTGTCCCTAGGTTCAGGCGATTCTCCTGCCTCAGCCTCCTAAGTAGCTGGGACTACAGGTGCCCACCACCACGCCCCACTAATTTTTGTATTTTTAGTGGAGACAGGGTTTCACTATGTTGGCCAGGCTAATCGCAAACTCCTGACCTCAGGTGATCCGCCTGCTTCGGCCTCCCAAAGTGCTGGGATTACAGGCATGAGCCACCACGACCGGGCCCACTTCGTATGTCTTGAGTCTCTTTCTTTGCCTTTTCTCTTTAGCCTTCCATTCAGCAGAAGTGACATTTGCATTTTCATGAAAAACTCCTGTGCTATAACTTTTTGTAAACGATTCCTTTCAAGAACACAGTTTTAAAATTGCACTGTATGTTCTAAGAAATAACTGTGGTCCTTGAAAGTGTACACCTCCAAATTTTGGTTAATGGCGAGGAGTAACTTGGAGAGCTGCTGCTTCTTCAGTCTGATGACACATTCTATTACAAAGATAAGTGACTTCCTTCTTAAGTCGTGATTTTTCCTGTAAGGCAATTTCTTCTGTTAGCTATTTCTGTGAGTGACACTTTTTTTTTTTTTTTTTGAGGCGGAGTCTCACTCTATCGCTCAGGCTGGAGTGGTGTGGTGCGATCTCGGCTCACTGCAAGCTCCGCCTCCCGCGTTCACACCATTCTCCTGCCTCAGCCTCCCGAGTAGCTGGGACTACAGGCGCCCGCCACCATGCCCAGCTACTTTTTTGTATTTTTAGTAGAGACGGGGTTTCACCGTGTTAGCCAGGATGGTCTCGATCTCCTGACCTTGTGATCCGCCCGCCTCAGCCTCCCAAAGTGCTGGGATTACAGGCGTGAGCCACCGCGCCCGGCCTGAGTGACAATTTTAAAAACTTGACTATTCCGATGATCCAATTAGACAGAGTAACACTTCGGGTGCTGCTAAAGTCTGCAGTAATTTCTTGTTCTCTGAGATGAATTTTGTTCAGTATGATCAAGTCCAACATGCCCAACCAGGGGAGGGCCTCCCGTAAGCTTGCCATAGGACACAGCTTGTTTTTGTTACTTCTAAACACATGTGCAGGACAAGAGATTGGCAAAGGACGGGTATATTAGTAAATATATTTATATTATTTTTTCTAGAAATCATTTCGCCTTTTAGAATTGTGACAAAATCATTCTTATTAAATGTAAGTCAACAAATAAAGCTGGATAAATAAAATTGTAAAGTGTGACTCCACTCACCATGGTGGAGCTCCAGGACACCTATGCGATCCCTCCACTTAAGAGAATTCGGCTGCTGCTTTAAAAAATAAAAACTGTTTTTAAAACTCAATCAATCAGCATTGCATTATTTAACTGAGAGAGTAAAAATCTCACTGTTTCGAGGTTTTTCCCCTCAGAAACAATCATTCACATTAAGTTTCATCACTAATGGTATAATTTGCCTAATCTGATATTAATCTAAAAACTTAGAGGAAAACAAAATCAGCAACGTGTTAACTGGTGAAAGTTCTCTCTCAAAATCAAAATTCAATAGAATTATTTCATGTAACATGGTTTATTTTGTTATAGAAAGTAAAGGTGACAAAAGTAAAGGTGACAAAATGAGCACAAAGGGAGTTCTTCATAAAAAGAAACCTGCCAAGAATTCTTGCAATTTCTCATAAGTCACTTTTGTCAGGTTCAAATCTACATGAACTAGACTATCCTCAACTGTTAGAGACCCTAAAATCCATTCCAACATGGCCAAATATCATGTGTTTCTTAATGATAGGAATATGTTCTGAAAAATGCATTGTTAGGTAATTTCATCACTGTGCGAACATCACTAAGTACACTTACACAAACCTAGATGGCATAACCTACTACACGCCTGGGCTCTGTGGTACAGCCTACTGCTCCTGGGCTACAAACCTGCACAGCATGTAACTGTACTGAATACTGTAGGCAACTGTAACACAACGGTAAGTATGTTTGTATCTAAACATGTCTAAACATACAAAGAGTGCAGTAAAAAATACAGTATAAAAGACACACATGGTACACCTGTTTAGGGCAGGTACCACTAATGGAGCTTGCAGGACTGGAGGTGGCGTTGGGTGAGTCAGTGAGTGAGTGGTGAGTGAATGTGAAGGCTAGGACATTACGGTACACTACCGTAGACTTTATAAATACTGTGCACTTAGGCAACACTAAATTTATAAGAAAATATATTTTTCCTCAGTAATAAATTAACCTTGGCTTATTGTAACTTTTTTACCCTATGAGCGTTTTAGTATTTTTTTGTTTTTGTTTTTTACTTTTTGACTACTGTGTAATAATACTTAGTTTAAAACACAGATTGTCCAGCTATAAAAAAAATTCTTTCTTTATATTCTTATCCTATAAGCTTTTTTAATTTAATTTTTACTCTTTCGACTTTTTAAACTTTTTTGTTAAAAATTAAAACATGAGCCCACACATTAGCCGAGGCCTACCCAGGGTCAGGAGCATCAGTGTCACTGTCTTCCACCTCCACAACTTGTCCCACTGGAAGGTCTTCAGGGGCAGTAACACGCATGGAGCTGTCACTTCCTAAGATAACAGTGCCTTCTTCTGGAATAACTCCTGACAACCTGCCTGAGGCTGTTTTACAGTTAACCTTTTTTATAAGTAGAAACATACATTCTAAAATAACAATAAAACCTACGGTATAGTAAATACATAAACCAGCAACATAGTTATTGCCATTATCAAGCATTAATACTGTACATAATTCTACGTGCTACCGTTTTATAAGACTGGTAGTGCAATAGGTTTATTTTCACAGCATCACCGCAAACATGGGAGGAAAACACTGCACTATGTTACGATGGCTACAACTTCAAGAGGCTATAGGAATTTTTCAGCTCTGTTATAATCCATGGGATCACTGTCGTATACGCGGTTTGTCACTGACTGAAACATTATTACACAGTGTCTGACTGTAATTCATTGATCTGGAAAGCCAGTTCAGCAGGTGTTGGCACCTCCAGACAGTGGATGGTAAGAGATTTGATCATCCCTGGCATGGCAGTCAACATATCAGCCTAATAATTGTCACTGACTCTGGCTGACAAAGTACCGCATGATATTAGAATTTTCTCCATTTCCTGTTCATCGTCATTCATAAATTCTTCTGTGTTTATCTAAAATTTCACATAATCTGGCCCGGCGCAGTGGCTCATACCTGTAATCCCAGCACTTTGGGAGGCCGAGGCATACGAATCACCTGAGGTCAGGAGTTCGAGACCAGCCTGCCCAACATGGTGAAACCCTGTCTCTACTAAAAATATAAAAATTAGCCGGGCTTGGTGGTGCATGCCTGTAGTCCCAGCTACTTGGGAGGCTGAGGAAGGAGAATCGCTTGAACCCAGAAGGCAGAGGTTGCAGTGAGGCGTGATCGTGCTACTGCACTCCAGCCTGGGCAACAGAGACTCAGTCTCAAATAACATAAAATAAATAAAATAAATAAAATAAAATAAAATAAAATAAAATAAAATAATTTAAACAATAAAATAAAATAAAATAATTTAAACAATAAAATAAAATAATTTAAACAATAAAATAAAATAAAATAATTTAAACAATAAAATAAAATTTCACATAATCCTTTGGAAATCTTTCATTTTTTTCTTTCTTTTTTTATTATACTTTAAATTTTAGGGTACATGTGCACAATGTGCAGGTTAGTTACATATGTATACATGTGCCATGCTGGTGTGCTGCACCCATTAACTCGTCATTTAGCATTAGGTATATCAACACAATTAATTTCCTCATTTAATTCAAGATGTGAAGAGCTCAACACAGAGTTCAAAATATCACACAGATTCAAAGAAGAATGTATACTGTGTCCAATGTCTGGAGCTACTGGGTTCTTCTCCATTCCATTCATGTCTTTAGGGGTTGTAGCGTTTAGATACCTAGAAAAGACTACTTGATGCTATGTAAGCCTAAAAGTTCTGCCTAACTATTAGGGAGCAGTTCGTTAGTATTCTTTGGGTCTACAACAGCATCAGGAAATACACTTGCTATTAATTCAGTTTTTTTGTTGTTGTTTTTATTTGTTTGTTTGTTTGAGGCAGAGTCTCCCTCTGTCCCCCAGGCTGGAGTGCAACGGCCCGATCTCGGCTCACTGCAAGCTCCACCTCCTGGGTTCATGCCATTCTCCAGCCTTAGCCTCCCGAGTAGCTGGGACTACAGGCGCCCGCCACCACGCCTGGCTAATTTTTTGTACTTTTAGTAGAAACGGGGTTTCACCGTGTTAGCCAGGATGGTCTCGATCTCCTGACCTTGTGATCTGCCCGCCTCAGCCTCCCAAAGTGCTGGGATTACAGGCGTGAGCCACCGCGCCCAGCCTATTAATTCAGTTTTTTCAGAAGTTACAGCTTTTATTTCTGCTTGTTCTGAGCTTTCCCTTTCTGCATCTTTGGTAGGCTCTGCACACATTATTGTTACTCATTCAAAACTGAATGTGAAGTTAAGGGATGTAAAGTGAATACAGGAAAAATTTCCTAAATTTTTATTATTCAAATTTGCATTTTGTGTAGAAATACATATAATACTTATAAACTCACTTGAGTCACAAAGTATTAACATCTCGTTAAGGCAAAATGAATCTATTTGGTCCTCGGGAAGAAAGTTCAATTTCTTTTCTTTCTTTCTTTTTTTTTTTTTTTTTTTTTTTTTTTTGAGACGGAGTCCCGCTCTTTCACCCAGGCCGGAGTGCAGTGGCGCCATCTCGGCTCACTGCAAGCTCCGCCTCCCGGGTTCACGCCATTCTCCTGCCTCAGCCTCCCAAGTAGCTGGGACTACAGGCGCCTGCCACCACGCCCGGCTAATTTGTTGTATTTTTCAGTAGAGACGGGGTTTCACCGTGTTCGCCAGGATGGTCTCGATCTCCTGACCTCGTGATCTGCCCGCCTCGGCCTCCCAAAGTGCTGGGATTACAGGCGTGAGCCACGGCGCCCGGCCAGGAAGTTCAATTTCTTAAAAGCATTCTCGGTTAAGGAATCCAAATCTTCGATTCGCTACATGTCCAAAAGTGAATCCATGTTTGAAGCTTCACTCCCTTCTTAAGAAAGCCACTTTTCCATGATCTCACTTCCTGATGCACTCTCCTGACTCTCAGAACCAATTCATCTGCCCGAGAAGATTCTTATTTCAGATAATCTTAATAGACAATCTATTGCATTTCAACTGAGAGGATTGCTGTGCGGACTAAACGAGATAATCCCTAAAAGCCTGCTGTGTAAGAAGACTGGCACTTAGTAAGCACCCAACTACGTTCCCTTTGAAGTCACATTCGGAGCGCATCCAGTACACAACATCCAGTCCAGGTAGAAAACGTCTCTGAGACACTGGGGAAAAGCTCTTTCTGATCTATTTTTGTCTCTTCCATACTTTTTCTTTCAGAAGGAAGATACTGTCAATATGACATTTCACCACTAAAAAATGTCCATTATATATCTCCTTAAAATGGAAATATCCTGCTATAAAATGACACCCCCATAATCAAAGCGAAGAAAATTAAACTAATCCCCACTATCATCTCGTACACAGTCCATATTCAAATTTCTCCAAGTGCTTCAAAAATGACTTTTATAATTTTATTAAAACAAGAATACAGTCTACATTCGCATATTACATTTTGTTATTGCGTCTCTTCAATAAAGAAAGCCCTCTCCTTTTTTCTTTTGTCGTGGTATTGATTTATTGAGGGAACTGAGCTTGTGGAATATTTTGTATTCTGGATTCATGGTTGAATCTTCTATTTTCCATATTTCATACAACTGAGAAACTAGATTTAAAAGCTTGTTTAGATTTGTACTAAATATTTTTGGCAAGAATACGGCTTCTGTGTATTTCATACCACCTTGCACCAAGAGGCACATAATATTAGGAAGTTTCTGTTAGTGATGTTAATTGTATTGCATAGCTAAATGTGTAACGGTGCTCCGTTATCTAAGGTATGTTTACCCTTTCCAGTCCGCAAGCACTCCATGGGGTGATGTTATGAGACTGCAGGAATATCGTGTTCCTTATTACCCTGCCTTTACTGCTTTTCAGCATCTCTTGATGATCCTTATCTGAATCCCTTATTTTACTAGTTTACACTATGGTGATTTTTCTATTTTGTTCATTCCTTCTACATTTATTTACTGATTTTCCTCTTTCCCCCCTCATAATGACTACTGAAATGCTTCTATTAAAATATCAATTATCAAAATATTTCAACCCCACACTTCTCCACCAAGGCTGGCTTTGCTGTACCTTAAACCTGAGTTTATGGGGGTAATCCAGCCCCTTGAGCAGGGCTCCTTCACCTGAGACCCCAGCTAGGCTGCTCAGTTCAGGTTCTGGAGACAACTTCTGAGTCATCTCCAAATTTTAGTGGTAGACTAAGCACCAGTATATGAGGTATTTATACATTTTTTACTCTTTATTTTACGATAATTATAGATTCACATGCAGTTCTAAGAAATAATCACATCCCATAAACTCTTCCCCCAATTTCACTCAGTGGTAACATATTGCATGACAAGAGTACAGTATCAAAAGTGGGACACTGGCATTGATGCAATCCATTGCCTCTATTCAAATTTCACCTGCTTTACATGCACTCATTTGTCTGTGTGTGGATATTTATTTCTATGAAATTTTACCTTACTTATAGATTTGTGTGACCACCGCCACAGTCAAGATACAAACAGACCCATCAACAATTCTTTACTAACCTTCATAGTCACAGCCTCTCCCTGTATCTTGAGCCCTTGGCAATCATTAATCTGTCTTCCAACTCTATAATTTTGTCATTTTGAGAGTGCTATATTAATGGAATCATATCACATGTAACTTCTTACGATTGGCTTTATTTTTCTTTTTTTTGGTGGGCACAAATTCCTGGAGTTCACCAAAGTTGTTAAGCATATTAATAGTTTGTTCCTTTTTATTTCTGAGTGTTCCATATGCATGTACCACAGTTGTACCATTTGCCCACTGAGGGACATTTGAGCTGTTTCCAGTTTTCAATTATTATAAACAAAACTGCTGTGAATATTCACATACTGGTTTTTTGTGAACATAAGTTTTCATTTCTCTGGGATAAATGCCCAAGAGTGTAATTCCTGGGTTGTATAATAAGTATACTGTAAGTGTTTTGTAAGAAGTGTTTCTGCTGAACCTTTCCCAGAGAGGCTGTACATACTATTGTCCCATTTTATATTTCCACCAAAAATCTATGAGTTATCCAGTTATGTGGCATTTTTGCCAGGATTTGGTGTCATCACTGTTAGTTTGCCTGTTTGTTTTAGCCATTTTGACAGGTGTATAGTGATATTTCACTGGGATTTTAATGTGCATTTCTCTAACGGCTAATGATATTGCATGTCTTTTCATATGTTCATCATCTGTCTGTCCTACTTAGTGAAATATATTTTGCTAATTTCTCATTGGATTGATTTTTAACTGTTGAGTGTTAAGTGTTCTATATACATTATAGATACAAGTCATTGTTTAGATACGTGGTTTATAAATATTTTCTCCCAGGTTTTTATTCTTTTCACATAGGCTTTCACAGAGCAAAAGTTTTGGTGAAGTCCTATTATCAATTTTTTCTTCCCCTTTCTAGATCATGATTTCTGTGCCAAGTCTAAGAAGTTTTTGCCTAGCCATATATCGTGGAAGATTTTCATTTGTCTTTTTAAAAAGGTTTTCTAATTTATGTTTTGCATTTGTGTGTGTGATGCACTTTGAGTTAGTCTTTTGTGTAGGCTGTGATGTTTAGGACAATGTTCGTTTTTTGGCTTATGAATGCCAAATTGTTCCAGCGTCACTTGTTAAAAAGACGATCCTTCCTCCATTAAATTGCTTTATCATCTCTGTTGAAATGAATTCCTTTATTAGTCAGTTGGGCTTATTTGTGTGGGTTTATTTTTGGGTTCTTTATCCTGTTCCATCTATCTGTGTATCTATTATTTGCTAATAAACATTGTCTTGATTATTGTAGCTACATAATATCCCTTATTGTGTATCTAATAAAATATGCATACAATTGACCCTTGAACAACATGGGTTTGAACTGTGCAAATCTATTTATATGTGGATTTTCTTCTGCCACCCCGAGACAGCAAGACCAAACCCTTCCCTTCCTCTTCCTCCTCAGCTCACTCAACATGGAGACAATGAGAATGAAGGCCTTTATGATGACTCACTTCCACTTAATGAATAGTAAATATATTTTATCTTCCTTACGATTTTCCTAATAACATTTTCTTTTCTCTAGCTTATTTTATTGTAAGAATACAGTACATAATACATATAACATACAAAGATTTTTTCACTCACCTGTTTGTGTGATCAGTAGGTCTTCCACTCAACAGGGTATTAGTAGTTAAGCTTTGGGGAGTCAAAAGTCATATGTGGATTTTTGACTGCACAAAAATCCACATATATGTCGGGGAGGGGAGCTCCTGATGCTCACATTGTTCAAGCGTCAACTTCATGTACAGTTATCCCTCGATATCAATGGGGCAGAGTTCCAGAACCTCCCACTGACAATCAGAATCCCCAGGTGTTCAAGTCTCTGATATAAAATGGCATAGTATTAGCATATAACTTATGCGCCTCCTCCCATATACTTTAAATCATCTCTATTATTAGTTATATTGCCTAGTACCATGTAAACACTATGTAAATAATTATTATACTTATACAGTATTATTTGCAATAATGATAAAAGTCTGTATATGTTCAATACGAACTCCATTTTTTTTAAATATTTTTGATTCATGATAGGTTGGATCCACAGATGCAGAACCTATGGATACACAAGATGAAATATATTTGGTTTTTGTCCCTGGTTCCTGGCACAGAACTGCAATTTCCCGAGTGATAGGCGTGTCTTTTGAATGAGTGTTGGATTGTGTCATATTTTTCTGAGGATATCTATATGATTATATGATTTTTCTTTAGCCTATTGATATAATTATTATATTAATTGATTTTCAGATATTGAACCAGATATATATCTCTGGAATATATCCCACTTGGTCAAACGTGTAATTCTTTCTATGCATTTGGATTTGATTTGCTAATACTTTTGAGGATTTTTGCATCCAAGTTTATGGGAGATATTGGTCCATAGTTTGGGGGTTTTTTGTACTCTTTGTTTAATTTTGTATTAGGGTAATACTAACTTCATAAATGAGTTAGTGTTTCCTTCTCTTCTATTTTCTGGAAGTGATTGCATAAAATTTGTGTCAATTCTCTCCTAAATGTTTGGTGGAATTCTCTAGTAAAACCATCAGGGCCTGAACATCTCATTGCGGGAGATTTTTATTATGTATTCAATTAATTTAATGATTGTAAGACTAATCAGATTTTCTATTTCTTCTTGATTGAGTTTCATAGCTTGTGACTTTTGAGAAATTGATCCATTTCTTCTCAGTTGTTGAATTTATGAGTGTGAAGTTGTTCATAATATTCCCTTATTCTTTTAATGGCTACATGATCTGCAGTAATAACTCCTGTTTCCTTCCTCATACTGGTGACACGTCTCTCTCTTTTATATCTTTGTCAACTTGCTAGATGTTTATCATTTTTTATTTTCTTTTCAAAAAAGCTGCTTTTGATTTATTGGTTTTCTTCCATTGTTTTTATATTTTTAGTGTTATAAATTCCTGCTTTTATCTTTATTATTTCCTTTCTTTTGCTTACCTTGAATGTATTTTGCTCTCCTTTTTTCAGTTTCTTGAGGTAGGAACCCAGACTAATGATTTGATCCCTTTTTCTTTATCTAAACTTTGAGAATTGTTATTGTTTCTTCCTTGAATGTAGAAATAATCAGTGGAGCCAGGTACGTCTGAAATTTTTATTGTGCGAATATTTTAACTATGAATGCAATTTTAAAAATAGATACAGAGCTACTCAGAGCTTCGATAATTTGGATATTCCAAGAAATATGTCCACTTTATCTAAGTTACCACACTTACCGTAATGAGGTGTTTATAATACTTTAAAAATCATCTTTTTAATAGTTGTAGGATTTGTAGTGATGTCCCTTTTTAATTCCTGATAATAATGAACTAATTTTATTACTGCTTTTTAAAAAGTGGATTTTAGTTTTATTTCTGATTGTTATTCTATTTCATTGATTTCTGCTGTCATGTTTATTATTTGCAAATATTTGAAGATTTTTCAGATTTTCATGTTACTCATTTCTAATTTAATATAATTGTTGTCAGAAGAATTGTGGATGATTTCAGTCCTTTTTTATTGAGAATTTTTCTATGGTTTATGATATAGTCTATTTTGGTAAATAGTGCATGTTCACTTGAAAGGAATATGTATGATGGAGTATTCTATAAATGTCTATTAGGTCAGGATTATGGTAATGTTGCTTAAGTTGGCTATATTTTTACTGATTTTCTATCTACTTCTCACTGATTATTGTCAGTGGGATGTTGAGATCTCCAACTATAAATGTGAATTTGTTTCTTCTTGTAATTCTCAGATTTTTTTCCTTCATGTATTTTGAAGTTATGTTATTAGGAGCATAACATTTAGGGTTATTATATTGTTTTGATGAATTGCTCCTGTAATCATTATGAAAGACCCTCTTTTTTCTTGGCACCATCCCTTGTCCTGAAATATACCTTGATATTAATATAGTTTCCCATCTGTTCTTTGTTCTCCTTTCTTATATTTTTCTGCCTTCACTTGGGTCAACTGAGCACCTTTCATACTTTTAATTTATCTTCTTAGTTATTTTTTCACTCATGGCTATTTGCTCTTAGTTTATAATGTGCATCTTGACTTATGAAAGTCTGATTTCAAATAATATTACCACTTCAAATCTCGTATAAGAGCTTTACAACTGTATACTTACATTTTCCTCTCCCATTATTGCATGATTGTTGTCACATTTTACTTCTGAATTTGTTTTAAAATTAAAATACATGGTTACTTTGCTTTAATCATCTATTTTCAGAGTGATTTCAAAATATAAAAATGTCATTGTATTCACCCAAATATTAACACACACATTTCCATTTCCAGTGTTCTTCATTCATTTAGGTAGATGCACATTCCTATCTGCTTTTATGGAGAAAGTCAATTTCTGGTTTTTCTATTTTTGTTGGTTGCAGAATTCTAGGTTGCCAGATTTTCCTTCAGTACTTGAAAGATGTTTTTCCACTATCTTCTGGCTTATTGTTTCCACTATTTCACTGTTGTTTTTCTTTTTCTTTCTTTTTTTTTTTTTTTTTTTTTTTTTTTGAGATGGAGTTTCGCTTTTGTTGCCCAGGCTGGAGTGCAATGGCGCAATCTCAGCTCACCGCAACATCTGCCTGCCTCCCAGGTTCAAGTGATTCTCCTGCCTCAGCCTCCCAAGTAGCTGGGATTAAAGGCATGCGCCACCACACCCACCTAGTTTTGTATTTTTAGTACAGACGGGGTTTCTCCATGTTGGTCAGGCTGGTCTTGAACTCCCGACCTCAGGTGATCCGCATGCCTTGGCTTCCCAAAGGGTTGGGATTACAGGCATGAGCCACCATGTCCAGCTGATTTCTTTTTCTTTTTTCTTTTTTTAGAGATGGGGTCTTGCTCTGTCACCCAAGCTACAGTGCAGTGGTGCAATTATAGCTCACTGTAACCTTGAACTTCTGGGCTCAAGTGATCCTCCCACCTTAGCCTCCCGAGTAAGCTGGGACTGAAGGTTAATTTTTTGATGTTGGTTTTACTTTCTCTGCCCAATCTGAAAATCTCTGCCTTTTATTTGGGAACACATTCAATTAAACTCAATTAGATTTTACTTGCTAAAAAGAGTCCAAGGCACAGACACAATGGTAAACCACATAAACTCTTCAGGTTCCCTGCCAGTTCCAGACATCAGTTTTTCTTCCCCCCGAAAAAACACAGTAAAACCCTGTCTCTACCAAAAAGGAAAAAAATTATTATTTTTTTTTTGTAAAGACAGGGTTCTGCTGTGTTGCCCACGCTGGTCCCAAATTCGTGGCCTCAAGTGATCCCCTGCCTTGGCCTCCCCAAGTGCTTGGATTACAGGTATGAGCCGCTGCACTTGGACTTCTTATTCTTATCTTCGTTTCTCTGTATGTATTGAGTTTCAGTATGTGTTAATACATTACTGTATTTAAAAAAATTTTTTAGTTTTGTTTTAGGACGCAGATAAGTTATTTAGAAACAAATCTGATCTTTTCTAGCTTTGCTTTTAATCTTTCTTACGTGGGATAGATCAAACCTTTAATCAAGGGCTATTTTTTTTTTCTGTTACTGAGCCAATATATTTCCGATTACTGTACCCAATGTGTCATGCATTTTAACAGTTTGCCTTTCTGGCTGATAGAAACAAAATATCCCTAGTTCCATGTGATCCCTGGAAATTATTATGCCTACTTCATTAGACTGTACTTTGGTCTTGGATATTTTCATACACATGCACTTATCAATACTAACCTGGAGACTCAAGTGACATCTTTGCAGATATCTGGAGTTCAATGTCTCTCTCTTCTTTCCTCTCTTCCTCTCTTCTCTTCCTCTTCCTTTTGCTCTGCCTCTTCTTCTTCCTCTCTCTCTCTCGTTGTCTCTTCCCTCGTACTCTGTCCCATGAACTCTAGCTACGTTGGTTCCCCTGAGCCAACTCTGTCCCAATTCTGTCTCCTCAACTCAAATGCTGGCTTAAGTTATCCCTCCCTGGGCTCTTTCCTTAAGCAAGTTTCCTTTAATAGCATTTTATCCACTGTAGAACTTCAATCAGAATTGAAGTCAATCCTCTCAAACCCTGCCACTTCTTTACTAACTAAATTTATGTAATATTTTAAATCCTTTGTAGTCATTTCAATGGTGTTCATGGTATCTTCACCATGAGTAGATTCCATCTTAACTAATCACTTTCTTTGGTAACTCATAAGAAGAAACTCCTCATCCATTCAAGTTTATCAAGAGATGCAGCAATTCTCCACTTCTAATTCTAGTTTTCTTGCTATTTTCACCACAACTGCAGTTACTTCTCCCACTGAAGCCTTGAACCCCTCAAAATCATCCTTAGGGTTGGAATACACTTCTTCCAATCTCCTGTTAATGTTGATATTTTGACCTCCTCCCATGAATTACACATGTTCTTTGTGGCGTCTAGAATGGTGAGTCCTTTCCAAAAGGCTTTTTATTTACTTTGCCTGGATACATCAAAGCGATCACTATCTATGGCAGCTGTAGCCTTAGAAAATGTTATCTATGTAATGTATCCATGTTCAATTCAATTAAACTCAATTAGATTTTATTTGCTAAAAAGAGTTCAAGGCACAGACACAATAATAAACCACATAAATTCTTCAGGTTCCCTATCAGTTCCAGACATCAGTTTTTCTTCCCAAAAGCGTTGTTCTGGATTGCAGGCCTAGGTCAGGTGAGAGGGTACCAGCAGAGGGATGCCTGCATGCCTGCTCCAAACCGGTGCCTCCCCAGCAGTCCTGAGTTGCATGCACTAGAGCATTTCACAGTCGCCACCTCCTTTGCCATAGCAAAACTTGGTTTTGTTTGTGCCTCAGTAGAGGCTGAGGGCCATCACTGAAGAAAATCCACAATAACAAGCAGACAGGAAACCAATATATGAAGCAAAATAATTCTTTATTTTATAATAAAATTATCTACCACAAAACTGAAAGTTTATTCTGACTTAAGGGAAGTCAAATGAGAATCCGAAAGTTTTGTGGTGCATATAGATTCACAGCAATGGGAATTAGTTAGAGGTCTTATATGTAAGTTCACTCAGTGAATGTGTATGGCCCCCAAGCACAGGCCTGGAAGGAACTTCACTGACATGTTTTCTTAAATGACCTTCAACTTGCATCTCTGATTATGTCTTCTTGTAATCCACGCTGGACTCTTTTCTTCTAAGTGACACATTACTTCTTCAGGTAGATCAATATCATCAATTAAAATGCAATTTTGTCTTGTTTTTGCACGGTCTGTTTTTTTAAGTCTAACTTTGCATACTTACCCACTTACCTACACTTTAACTAAAGTGTGTTTATTAAACTTTCCAAACTCTGGGATGCCTTGCTTTCATGCCTACTTATAATTACTTTATGTGTGCTAAAAAGTCACAAATAGCACTTTTTGCCCTATGTTCTTTTCTTCTTTGTACTCTGGAAGAAGAACCAATGACGACAATGAAAAGCAGGCAGTAGCAGAGTTGAAGAAGAGCATAGGACTTGGCAGTGCACAGCATGAATCCTCAGTCCTTGGCCAACAAACGTCATCATTTCAACAGACCAAATCTATTGTCAAGATGTGTTTTCTGTTAAGTCTCCATTGGCCCAATGAGAAACACTTAAATTGAGCTTCCCTAGACAACATTTTGCAAAGGGACTGTGATGCTAACTCTCCCTTGAAAACATTACAATTTATATATTAATAAAATCTTCTTATTTTCATGTTTTAAAACTTCAGCTTGAATTTGAGCCCATTAAGTACAACTGGCAGTAATTTCTTCGCCATGGTCATGTCCAAATGTTGTGATGAACACAGAGATAAGGCTAATTGTCATAGATTTAAATCATCTAAAACAATTGGGATTGCTTCATGTCACCGGTACTCTCTGCTCCAGGCTCAGACATGATAACTTTATGATCAGCATCTTAAATATCTCACATCTCTCAACTCAATTCATATCTTGAGATTGGTTCCAGCTCCAGCATGAATTTTGAAGAGCTCCCTGTGGCTACAAGTCTCTGATTCTTCCCTGTCTGATAGGGGAGCTGGGTCCTGCCCACTGCTTTGTCCTGTGTTCCAGTCCTCCTGGAAAGTCCAGTCCCCCAGTCCCTTGTCATGATGGTCTGTGTCTCTTGGCCAGCTAGGGTTAGGCTCAGAGTTAAGCTAACTGTTGTAGACTCTAACCGTGGCTTGCTTATTTGCACCTGTCTTCTTTGGCTACTAAATAGTTTTTTTTTCTTTTGACCGATTGCATCTGGCTTCCCCACCTGCTCTGTGCCCCTAGTGTATTAGTTTATTAGGGCTGCCATAACAAAATACCACAGACAGAGTGGTTTAAGTGACAGAAGTTTATTTTCTCGCAATTCTAGAAGCTAGAAGTCTAAGATCGAGGTGTCAGCAGAGTTGCTTTCTCCTGAGGCCTGTCTCTTTGATGTGTAGATGGCTGCTATCTTCCTTTGTCTCTGCCTGTTCTTCCCTTTGTGCAGGACTGCATCCTAATCTCCTCTTAAGGACGGAAGTCATATTGAATTAGGACCCAGGCATATGACCTCGTTTAACCTTAATTGCCTTTTTAAACACTCTAGCTCCAAATCCAGTCACGTTCTGAATTTTGAGGCACCAAAGGGGTGGTTAGAACTTCAACATCTGAATTTGGGGGGGATGCAATTCATCTCACAACACCCAAGATGGTTCTTACATCCGTTCTCAGCCTCAGATGTCCTCAGTCCTGGTGCTGCCTATGTGGCGTGCCTGAGGGCAGAGCTCACTGCCAGCCTGGTGCTCCACAGCTGAATTTCTGACTGTCCAGCAAAGTATCCTTTGTCCAATTTGTACCCACAGGTAGGCTTTAGCTTTCAGGCCAATGTTAGATTCTTCTCCTGGCTTTAGAACAACTTGGTGGTCTCCTCCAGTTTCTAGGGACATCTCTATGCCTTTCAACTCCTGATTCCATTTGGACCCATCTCTGTATGACCTCTCACAATGCGAGCTTGGGTATCTTTCCCTTCTTATTGTGACTCACCACTAATAGCAGTACAAAATCCTGTTTCATAAAGTGGGTTCCTCAGAACATTAGTTATGTTGGATATAAATAGATTTCGTGTAGGATACCAAGAATGTTTGAGAAATGTTGCATGACAGAAAACAAAGTTTCTTTCATGCAAAACTTCCTATATGTCCACAGGTGGGAAAGTGGGAAGATAGACCTTGCGTGATTTCCAAATGTTTTTGTTTCCAAATGTTTTATTTGGGTTGGGGTGTGAACTGTGAACTTCCCAATGACCCAAAGGACTTGCCCACATGCAGTGCTGAGATCCTTGGCCACACTTCAGCCTGGCTTCTACCTGCACTAGTCATGTGCCTAAAAGTGACACAGCTCTTGTGTGAGTCTCTGCTCAAGAAAATGCAATGCTCCTGAACTGCCAGATGTAAATTGTCCCAACCCACAAGGCCAAACCATTTTCAGTAATCCTCTGCAACTCCACTCTGTAGCTTCCTACTTATAGCCCCCAGTCTCTTTTCTGGTCCCCCTTTTTTTACTTCCCATAATCTCGTTGTGTGCCCTATCAGATCTCCCTTTGAAAACCCCAGTCACCTTTGTCTTATTTGGAATTAAACTGATTCATACTGGAGCCTCTCTGCCCTACTGCAGTAGTCTGAGTGAAATCTGTCTTGCTGCCTCTAACAGTGTCCAGTGCTCTTTCTCTGACAAGGGGAGGTGCCTCACCAACCCTGAGATATCTGTTAGGAAAATGCTGCTCTGGCATTATGCTCCAAGTGAACCAATTCCAAGATATTCTGCAGAAACTATGGCCCAAAGACACTGAGAACACACAGAAATATGCTTGTGCTTTCTATAAGTTTTCCACTTTGTATTAAGTGAAAAAAATTCTATAATAAAACAAACAGTGAATTTGTGTCACATGTCAGGTATATATGAGTGAGGGCCACATGGCCTCACAGTACATTACACGAATGATGACGCCATGATAACCTGAATGATGAAAGGACTGAGCCTTCCAGGGAACATTCCCATGCTGAGGCCAGGGTCCCCCCTCTGCCACACTGGCAGGATGTGCTGCCACATCCACATTGCAGGCAAATGTCAGCTGGCTGCCCCTTGAACACACACTGACTTGGACATTCACTGACAGTCAACATAATTGTCACTGGACTGCAGAGGGAGTGTTAGGGCTCCCTATGTGGATGTCAGCTCTTACAAATAAAGCTACCCTCATGTTTGTATGGGGGCAGCAGTCTGCAGTCTGTCATCTAGGGGTAGGGGAATAAACCTGAGGATCAACAAAGTCCATTCAATATTAAATAAACCTAATTACATACAAAAGAGGGGTCATGTCTTAGTCTGCTCAGGTTGACATCACAAAATGTCATAGATTGAGTGCTTCAAACAACAGAAATTTTTTCTCACAGTGATGGAGGATGCAAGTTCAAGATTAAGTTTCTGGAGGCTGGAAGTCCAAGTCAAGCAAGTGACACCTGTGACCACCTCCAGCAGCAGAGTCCCACTAAACAGTGGAGAACAGAAAGCATAACAATGCCTGCCTCCAGGAGCAGTAATCCCAAGACGTCAATCCACCACATGATTTTCAGGCACGACTCATGCAGGCACTGGATGGAACAACGCTTTATGCACATAGAGAAGACACAGAGCAAGAGCAGCTTCAGTTTCGACTGTTGATCCCTCATGGCCAGTGGGTCTCACCCCACAGCCAGCACAGGGAGATGTTCCACACACTCATGCTATAGACAAAGGCCCCTGTTCCCAGCAGTGGGGTCGTTCAGGTGCCATATGATGCACATGCTTTAGTAGAACGAAGAAGTACGCCTCCAGTCCAGAACAGAGAAAGAGGTTCCCCATAAAGGGTAATGGACAGCGCAGGCTGTGAAAGCTCTTTATCTCTTTGTAAGAAAATGTTCCTAACCCAAGGCACACTCCTATGCAACTGTACAGAGGTCAAAAGACTACGTTTGTGTGACTGCTTCTCTCAACATGTTCCTGGTGAGGGCTCTTTTCCTGGCTTGCAGACAGCCACCTTCTCCATGTGTCTTCACATGGTCTTTCCTTGGGGCTTGCATGAAAAGAGACAGAGAGATGCTGTGAGAGAGCACTGGGGTGTATCTTCTTATAAGAACACAAATCCCTTCGGATCAAAGCCCCACCCTTAAGATCTTATTAACTTTAGTTCTTTATAGACCCCCCTCCCCCACCTCCAAATATAGCCACACCGGGCATTATGGCTTAAACCTGTGGATCTGGGGGAGACACAAACATTCTATTCATAATAGGCCAAGATGCATAAACAGAATAATTGACTCAGGAGAAAGATGGCAAAAATTCAAAAATTCATCAAATGTAGTACACTTTTAAAATATTCTAACTTGTATCTTAAAGAGAAGCTGGACAATATTGCACCCATTAAACAAGGGCATATGTCAATGAAAAAGAGGAAATCAGAAAATAAAATATTCTTAAATATTAGAAATATAATCATTACAATAAAGATACGATGTCTGAAAGAAAACTTGAAGGACAACTGTCAGCATGTACATAAAAAGAGAAAACATGAAGAGAGATATGAGAAAAAAAGTTTAATAAGAGCATTTAAATCCAGGAAGTCCAAAGAGTTACATAAAGAGAAAATACAGAAACTGATAAAAATGAAATGATCAAAGAATAGCCTATTAGGAGAACATTTTCCAGAGCTATGAGGAGGTGCTGCGTGCATCTCGACTTAAAAAGTCACCGACGGTTGATCAGGAGATATAAAAAAATCACCCACCCCTAAATGCATCATTGTGATGTTTTAGAAGACAAGGAACAAAACAGGGCATCTGTAAAGAAATCACAGTCAAACTCGCATCAGATTTCTCATTAGTAACACTGGAATACAATGAGGCAGTAACTTCAAAGTCCACAGAGGAAATTATTTTCAACTTAGAATTCTACACCTGGTAAAAAAAAATTATACTGAGTGTCGATGCCAAATAAACACATTTTCAGTCATCCTAGGCCTCAGAATGTTTACCCTTTATGCATCTTCAGTGAAAAAGATAAATCCTTGATGATATTCTGCAGTAAAACCAATAAAAATCCTAGACAAAAGGAGACATAGCCCCATCCTCAAGACAATAAAGGACTATCTCAGATGACAACTGAGCAGCAGACTTAGAGAGCAACTGGTCTACCACAGTGCAAGGTCAGGGGAGTGCAGGTGCAAATGTTGCTAGGGAGAAACGTTTAAGAAGAAAGCAGACTTGTGAAAGCAAAAGCATCACGATGGTGGAAAATCTTGGTGATAAGTCAGAGGACAAGTTTAAAACAAAGGGAAAATGTTGGGAATTCTAGGAAACTCACAAATATGTAGAAGAGAGTCATGCTTTAGTGCCAAGCAACAAGCACATGCCATGGGCTAGCAGCATGGACACCTCCTGGAAACTTGTTAGAAATACACATCCTTAGGCCACCCCAGACCTGCTGAATCAGGAACTGTGGATGGCACCCAGCAATCTGCCTTCAGCAAGCCCTCCAGGGGTTTTTGATCCTCTGCATTGGACCAGGGTTTGGCAGTGGCCTCTTTTTGTAAATCAGTTTTGTTGGAACTCATGACACTTATTTTATCCTGCAGTTTCTATGGCTGCTTCCACTCTGCAACAGCAGAGGGTAGTGGCTGTGACAGACACCCTATGGCCCCAAAGCCTAAATATCTGCTATTTGATTCTGTACAGAAAATATTTGCGAATCCCTGCTTTATACCTTTAGATAGGCTACAAAAGTGTTTGAGACTTCATTTGACTTGACTTTGAATTTTAGTATGTGCTTCTTAGATGTATCAGTCTGGGAATCCCAGGTCCTTCTATCTGCAGCCAAGTGCACTACACTCCTGTTTGCAGTGACAATCCTCCTAATATTGTGAAGGCTGCTTCTTAGTTTTCAGTCAACATCTAGAGCAAGCCCAGGAGACTTGGGATTAAGGAATAGGAGTGTAAGAGTTAAAACGTCATAAATGTGAAAGTCAGGTACAGCTCCGGAAACTAGCAGAAGGGAAGCACAGGGAAAAATATTTCCTCATCTCAGATAAAAGGGAGACAAGAGAGACTGTCAAATTGGTGCAACCAGAAAAATATGCTCACACAACTCATAAAAAGTTTTAAAGGCAAAAGAAGTAAAAATCAGACCATAACTAAGAAAAATTGAGAGGGAGTGGAAAGAGAGAAGAGGCAAGGAATAATAGAAAGTATCTAAATCAAGAAACGAGGGATAGAAGATCCTCCAGAGGAACAGAAGAAGAAACAGAAACAAGAGCTGGCTTTGAGCAGGCATCCCAGATGTTGGTTTGACATGGGGCAGACTTTTGTTTTCATTTCTTTGTTTAGTTTTTGTGTGCAAATGTACATTTGACTCCAATGATAGTACAGATTTTGAAAGGTAGAGATAAACACTGGCAGGACCCTGGCCCATGGAATTAGGAAACTTCCAAGCCTCACTCTCCAGCCCTCCTGCCCCCACCAGGTCTGCCCAGTGCTATGTGCTCCCTAAGCCCCCTCTTCCCCACAAACTGCCTTCTGTCTTTTTTAACTGCTGTTGCTTTAATGTTTGTTTTGTCTGATATAAAAATAGTTACTCCTACTCACTTTTGGTCTCTATTTGCACGGAATATCTTTTTCCACCCCTTTACCTTAAGTTTATGTGAGTGCTTATGTGTTAGCTGAGTCTCCTGAAGACAGCAGAAACTTGGTTGGTAAATTTGTATCCATTCTGCCATTCCTTTTTGTTTGTTTGTTTGTTTTGAGATGGTGTCTCACTCTGTCACCCAGGCTGGGGTGCAGTGGCATGATCTCAGCTCACTGTAATCTCCATCCTGGGTTCCAGTAATTCTCCCACCTCAGTCTCCTGAGTAGCTGAGATTACAGGCATGCACCCACATGACCAGCTAATTTTTTTGTATTTGGGTTTTCACCATGTTGGCCAGGCTGTTCTCGAACTCCTGACCTCAGGTGATACACCTGTCTTGGCCTCCCAAAGTGCTGGGATTACAGGCATGAGCCACTGCACTGGGCCCATTCTGTATCTTTTTTTTTTTTTTTTTGAGACAGAGTCTCGCTCTGTCGCCCAAGCTGGAGTGCAGTGGCATGATCTCGGCTCAGTGCAACCTCCGCCTCCTGGGTTCACACCGTTCTCCTGCCTCAGCCTCTCACAGGCTGAGGGCGCCCAACAACACGCCCGGCTAATTTTTTTCTATTTTTTTGTATTTTTAGTAGAGATGGGGTTTCACCGTGTTAGCCAGGATGGTCTCGATCTCCTGACCTCATGATCCGCCCGCCTCGGCCTCCTAAAGTGCTGGGATTACAGGCATGAGCCACCGCACCCGGCCCCATTCTGTATCTTTTAAGTGGAGCATTTAGGCCATTTACATTCAACGTTAGTATTGAGAAGTAAGGTAGTATTCTATTCATCATGCTATTTGTTACTTGAATACTTTGTTGTTTTTTTCATTGTGCTATTGATATACAGGTCCTGTGAAATTTATGCTTTAAGGGGGTTCTATTTTGGTGTATTTTGAGGATGTGTTTCAAGATTTAGAGCTCCTTTTAGCAGTTCTTGTAGTGCCAGCTTGGTAGTGGTAGATTCTCTCAGCATTTGTTCGTCTGAAAAAGACTTTATCTTTTCTTCATTTCTGAAGCTTAGTTTCGCCGGATACAAAATTCTTGGCTGATAATTGTTTTGTTCAAGGAGGCTAAAAATAGGACTCCTATCCCTTCTAGCTTGCAGGGTTTTTGCTGAGAAATCTGCTGTTAATCTGACAGGTTTTCCTTTATAGGTTACCTAATGCTTTTGCCTCACAGCTCTTGAGATTCTTTCCTTTATCTTGACTTTTGATAACCTGATGACTATGCGTCTAGGTGATGATATTTTTGTGATGAATTGCCCAGGTGTTCTTTGAGCTTCTTGTATTTGGATGTCTAGATCTCTAGCAAGGCCATGAAAGTTTTTCTCAATTATTCCCTCAAATATATTTTACAGACTTTTAGATTTCTCTTCTTCCTCGGGTACACCAATTATTCTTAGGTTTGGACACTTAACATAGTCCCAAACTTCCTGGCAGCTTTGTTCATTTTTTAAAATTCTTTATTCTTTGTCTTTGGTGGATGGGGTTAATTCGAAAACCTCGTCTTCGAGCTCTGAAGTTCTTTCTTCTGCTTGTTCAGTTCTATTGCTGAGACTTTCCAGTGGATTTTGCATTTCTATAAGTGTGTCCTTGATTTCCAGAAGTTGTGATTGTTTTTTATTTATGCTATCTATTTCACTGAAGATTTTTCCCTTTATGTCCTATATCATGTTTTTGATTTCTTTAAGTTGGACTTCACCTTTCTCTGGTGTCTCCTTGATAGTTTAATAATCAACTTTCTGATTCTTTGTCTGCCAATTCAGTGATTTCATCTTGGTTTATATCCATTGCTGTTAAACTGGTGTGATTTTTTGGGGGTGTTAGAGAAGCCTGTTTTGTCATATTACCCGAATTGTTTTCCTGGTTCCTTCTCATTTGGGTAGACTATGTCAGAGGGAAGATCTGGGACTCAAGGGCTGCTGTTCAGATTCTTTTTTCCCACAGGGTGCTCCCTTTATGTGGTTTTCTCCTCCTTCCCGTAGGGATGGGACTTCCTGAGAGCCAAACCGCTGTGATTATTTTTTGCCACTCAGCAGAGCTACCAGGCTCAGGCTGGTACTGGAGAGTGTCTGCAAAGAGTCCTATGATGTGATCTGTCTTCAGGTCTTCAGCTGTGGATACCAACACCTGCTCTGGTGGAGGCAACAGGGGAGTGACGTGGACTCTGTGAGGGTCCTTAGTTGTATTTTTGTTTAGTGTGCTGGCTTTGTGCTGATTTTGTGTTGGTTGGCCTCCAGCCAGGAGGTGGTGCTTTCAAGAGTGCATGAGGTGCATGAGGTGCATGAGGGAGGATGCAAACTTGGCCTAGGGTCACCTGGTTAAGCATTCAGGTTTCTCAGGTGTTGGGCAGGGCCACAGAGCTCCCAAGAGACTATGGCCTTTTTCTTCAGCTACCAGGGAGGGTAGAGAAAGACTACCAGGTGGGGACAGGGATAGGCATGTCTGAGCTCAGACTTTCCTGGGGCAGGGCTTGCTGTGGCTGCTGTGGGGGTGTGGCCCCCAGGCCAATGGAGTTATATTTCCAGGGAGATTATGGCTGTCTCTGCTGCATTACACAGGTTGCCAGGGAAGTGGGGGAAAACCGGCAATCATAGGCCTCACCCCACTCCCATGCAGCCGGCAGTCCTAGAGGCCAGTATTACTTCCACTGTGCCCCGGCAACAGCACTGAGTCTACTTCCAGGCAGCTGGTGACCAGGGCTGAGAACTTGCCCCAGACCACCAGCCTCCCCACTGAGAAAATAAGCAGACTCATAGTTTTTTGGCATCTCAGGGAGCCTGTAGCAGGGATCCAGTTCCTTCAAAGGGTCTGTGGATTCTCTTGACTTTCTTGGTAGATTCCTGTGGTACTTCTTGGAGCAGAAGTTCACAATGTGAGTCTCCACACACTGCTCTGTCCGTCCAAGTGGGAGCATTAAGCTAGTCCTCCTCTCCACCATCTTAATCTCCTTGCTGTCTTGTGAAAAACCATCTCCACGGCTGCCTCCTGCCTCCTCTGCAGGATGTGAAATGGTAGCTGGCAAGGTGAACACGAGCACCGCAGCTCCAGCCAATCCTGCGTTGCCACCAAATGACCCTGAACACTGGTGTCCCTCTTCTGCAAGCCCCTCTGAGCCCATCCATCAAGATACACTTCTTGATTCTCCACCCCCATCCAGTCCCAGAGACCATCTTGTTGCATATTCTATGACAACACATCCTTCTCCTTGCTGGTATTTATCACAAATGTAATTATTAACTACATGTGCAATTATTTGTTGAATGTTCTCCATATCCAGCTGGGCTGAAGACAGAGAGACGGTGTCTGGCTCATAGACAGCTGGACCTGCCACTCTTCCCCGATGCCTGTGATACAGGGAGGACTCAATCAGTGCCTGTTACTGGAAGGAGCGAATCCTGCTGGCAGGCAGGCCTCAGCACAGGGCCTGGCACTGCTCTGCTGCAAGACTCAGTACCTGCATCAAGGCACACAGGGAGAGAGGTCGTCAGAGTGTTTGGGGGTAAGATGATCTTTGAGCCTCAAGGTGACAGTCTGTCTGGATTGCTAACAACTTTGGCAGTGGAAAGGGGATGTTGCAGGCTGAGTCTGTCCATCTTCCTAGTGATGTCCTGTCACATCCTCCATATGGGCAACAAAAACTGTTTTCAGGGACATATCAGAGGAGCTGTTTCCAATTTTGTGAAAATTACCTTTGAGATTCCAATCTGAGCTGGGAAATCATTTGACAAACATCAGTGGGGATGGATGTGCCAGCACTTCAATGACAAAATCAGATGGATCCCTGGGGCCAAAATATAAGCAGCAGCCAGGACTGGCCCTGGGCCCCCTGTTGTCCTGTGTGGATGCTGGGTTGCCATAATCAACAACATAGTGGCCACACTTTAGAAAACTACTGGAATGAAATGATGAAGGGAATGAATGGGCTGGGAGGCAGTGTAGACCTTCACTATGGAAATTCAGGCAGATCTTCCAATTATAGGCAGGCTTGGTGCCTGTTCTCATGCAGAGCACGCTGCAAGCAGAGACTCCGAATACAGTCATTGAAACAGCTCTGGAGACACAAGCATAAAGCAGAAAAAAACTGATTTGAGTGTCATGTGCAGACAGAGGTGAGGTTTAGGCCACAAGAGAGAATAAGCTCTCCGAGAGAAAGAGAGGCAGAACCTTGCAAAGTATACCTGTGACCTTGTAGAATAGTACTAGGGCAAACCTCCCAGGTTGCTGAACACTGAACCGTTAGTGAGGAAATAAATGTTTTTCAAGAATCACAGTGGAAGTGAGGCTGAAGGCCCACATTTCATTAGACAGAAGAGCACACTCCTCCCGTGCCCCTATGAAATGTAATGTCTGATGAAGCCCAGCAAGAATTTTACTGACCCTTTGGGGCTTTGCAATTTGGCTGAAACAGGTTGTGAAGTCAGCAGCCATTTTCTTCAGCCTTCACAACCTGAAAATCTTTCACTCAATCCAGAAAGGATAGGAATGAGAGGGTGAGGATTTGTGAGCGAGCTTCTCAATCATAGCAAGTTAACCAGATTCGAAATGGAGGAACGTGAGTCTCTCACGCACCAGTCTTAGGTACAGATTTTGCATCTGGCTTTTCAACAACTGTGCAGAACTTCAGAGGTCCCTTCTCTCTTCTGTAAGCCACGGGTCTTCCAGCACCAGCTGACCAAGAGCCACTGAATTTTTATATTTCTGATATCTCATTTTTGATAAATTTTTTGCCTTTGGAGGGTTATTTATGTGTTTATTATTTCTACGGTGACAAAAGTGATGAAGGATCTTATGGGATTTTAAAAGAATGCCCTTTGGAGGCTATTTTGATTACCAAAAAGATTGAACAGGAGAATGGGCTGTTTAAGAAAAGCCCAAAAGTTCTCATGGTAACTAGAGCTGTTATTGACAGAAGGGGATTGGAGATGGAGGTATCTCTGCCCAAATTAACCCATTAACATATCAAATCCTTTAAAAGAAAAAAAAAGTCCTACATGATTCAATATTTGAGAATATTTTCTCATACAGATGGTATAGGAGGGTTCGGGTAAAATAAACAGAACAACAGCGAAGCCCCAGGAACCCGGACCTCATGGCGAAATTCACACCCTTTTTGAGTTTTTGTCCATTCTGCAGCTCTGAGGGCCCCCCCACCTCCACGCGCCTCTGTCAGGTTAGAAAGCAGAAGGGTCTTCCAAGGCCAGGGCTTGGCTGGACTTCAGCTGTGCGGGGATGCGGAGCTGCAGGAGAGGGGCGCCCTCTGGTGGCCGCTACGGGCTGTGCTGAGGCCGAGTGGATGGGAAATGGGCAAAGGGGCCTAGAAAACCCTTCCTGCAGACTCGCGGAAGGAGGAAAGTAGGGAGGCATGATGAGAGCGCTCATGAGAGATGAGTGGTAACCACAGCTGTGGCCAAGCCGCTTTTTTACAAGACTGAGATTCCCCCAGGGCCTCGGGTCACCCTGGCTTTCCTCAAGACACCCCCGACCCAGCCCTACTCCCTGAGGTCCTGAAGGGACCTCTGGGGTCCTGGTTGGTACGGATTCTGCTTGATTCGTGTCGGGGTTGATGCTTGTCCCATGTGGTGGTTAAGGATTTGGGACGTGAATCCCTGGGGAAGTTGGTGTTTGGGACAGATTGGAAGAGGTGAAGAAGGAAGGAGAGGAACTGTTACACTCAGAAAGGGAGGCAGACAGAGTAGTAAAAAGAACCGGGCGCTCCCAGGCTGAGCTGAGACCTGGCCTCTGTGTGTGGCGCTGGCTATGCTCCCAGCGAGGATGGAGAGCCTGCCCTTGGCACTCTCTGGACACTTCCAAGGGGGGACGCGTCCATCCATCCCGCGTGTCTGTGTTACGGTCCACATGGTGGGGCATACCTGGACACCTCTACACGATCTGGCACATATGTCATCAAACTCCTTAGGATGGATTCTGAGCCTCCTCCAGGTAGCTCCTGGGGAGACGGGAGTCCCTGCCTCAGCAGCGCCAGGCGGCACAGGTGCGGGAAGATCTGGACACACTGGGCTGCAGCAAAGGCGCTCTTCGCTGGACCTGTCAATGTCTGTGTCTAAGGCAAGGAGCAAGCTGGTAGGAGGGGGAGGGCGACGGAAAAGAAGAGCCAGGAGAAAGGGCAGTGCAGGAAAGGGAAACAGATCCTAGGCACAGGGACCCAGGACATGCCCTCCTGGAAGAAAGATGAGGACCAAGAGAACAAGTGCTAAAGAGGGGACGGAGGGAAACAGGGCGAGGCTGGAACGACAGGCGGCCAGCCGGGGGCAGAGCAGGATGGGCTCGGGGAAGCCATGAAGCTAGAATGGTGCTATTTACCCCACACTAAACTGTCTACTGGGCAGGCAGCCTTAAATTCGTCCCCGTACCTGGGAGGCTGAAAATACAGTGGTGTTTTGGCAGAAAAAAATAAGTGAAGCGGCTGAATCCAGTACTGAAGGAAAGCATTAGGTGTGGAGCCTCATTTTTATCTCTGCCAAGTTCTAAATGCAAGAGTGCTGCCTGGCTCGTGTCACATGGCTGTGGGCAGGTTCACACAAGAGAATGCAGGGCAAGGTTCTTCAAATCAGAGTGCTATATTGTATAAAGCTGTATTATTTCCAGCATAGACATTTTTGCACATGTAAGTCATTTTCTCAAATATGAAGAAACTGGATTCCTAGAACATCATTGCTATGATTCCATCACCTTTCCCCAAAGGTAGATCTTTCATCCTTGTTGGGTTGAGATGAGAATGTGTCAGCTGCTAAGGGAACCCATATAGCTCAGGCTGTCACCTCCATCTCCCAGTGTACCAGGAGGAGTGGCTCCCCTGGTCCTCTGCCCACAGCTGCCCCGCAGCACCAGCCACTTCCAGCACACTGCCAGCAGACCCTGGGAGAACTGGCATACGAAAGAAGTGCTAACTCCAGAGGTAGCACTAGGACCCACAGGTGCAAATTGCAAAAGAAAAAGTTCAGTTGCACTCTGACCCTTGGAATTTTCCAAACCCGGACAAGGAGGTCTCTGCAGCTGATAAGCCCCATCTCAGGAGTGGGCATTGCTTAGAGCCCGCACAGCTCTATGGCCTGAGCCTAGTGTTCATGGCATTATCAACAACCAAGGCTGGCGGCAGGCATGAATGTGGGGGTGGTGACTATACAAGGCTTAAGAAAGAGAAACGTTCTGTATTCTCACCAGTACTGTAAATGGTATCCTTGTTTCCCACAGAGCCTTTGAATCTGGGCAATAGGATCTCTTGTTAAGAATGGGGCTGGGCTGGGTGTGGCCCAGCACTTTGTGAGGCCAAGGAGGACAGATCATGAGGTCAGGAGTTTGAGACCAGCCTGCCCAACATGGTGAAACCCTCTCTCTACTAAAAATACAAAAATTAGCCAGGCATGGTGGACATGCCTGTAATCCCAGCTACTCAGGAGGCTGAGACAGGAGAATTTTTCGAACCCGGGAGATGGAGGTTGCAGTGAGCCAAGATTGCACCACTGTACTCCAGCCTGGGTGACAGAGCAAGACTCTGTCTCAAAAAAAAAAAAAAAAAAAAAAAAAAAAAGAATGGGGCTGAGACAGTACAAGCAGCTTGGAGCTCTGGACTTGGAGCAAACAGCTATGTTTAACTCCTTATCATTCACCATCTGTGGGCATTTAGCAAGGCATTTTGCAACACTTTTGCTTTCTTGTAAAATAAAGTTCAAATAGCTTAATTTACAATGTTATTGTACAATTCAGCTAAGCTTATCCTTGTAAAAGTCTCGAGTAAAAAGTATAAAAACTGTGTGTCATTTATCAATCGGCATTATTGGGATGTGAATAGCACACTGCATGTGGGCTCAGAGAATATGGGCTAACTATGGGCCTTTCCAAGAGAAGTGGGAATCACTCACGACCTTTCCCTCCTTCTGCAAAGGCAAATTTACAAGTCTTCTTTTAAGCATGTCATATTGATATATGCATAAAATTTTGGTTTTTTAATTGAACTTATTATTGAGATAACTGTTGATTTATATGCAGTTGCAAACAATAATACAGGGAAATCCTAGGTACATTTAACTCACCTTCCCCCAGCAATAACCATTTTAGTATATCACACCAGAATATTGACATGGATACAATTCACTGATTTTGTTCAGATTTCTCCAGTGTTACTTATACTTATCTGTGTGTCTGTGTATGTATTTAGGCGCGTTTAGTTCTAGATAAATTTACCACCCATGTTAAGTTCATGTATGCACCACCAAAGTTAAGATTCTTAAGAGTACTGATCAATAGATACCTACATTAAAAGAGAAGATGGCCCCAAATAAATAGCCTAACATTACACCTCAAGGAGCTAAAAAATGAACAAAGCAAGCCCAAAGTTACAAGAAGGAAGGGAATAACAAATATCAGAACAGAAATAAATCAAAATAGAATAAAAAACCATAGAAGAAATCAATAAAACTAAGAGTTAGTTTAAAAACAAACAAAATCGATAGACCCTGAGGTAAACGTAAAAAAAAAAAAAGAGAAAAGCCTCAAATAAATAAAACCAGAAATAAAAGGAAGGACATTACAACAGATGCCTCAGAAATAAAAAGGATCATAAAGGACTATTGTGAACAATATTATGCCAACAAATTGGATAACCTAAGGGAAACAGACAAACTCCAAGAAAAATTTAACCTACCAAAATTGAATCAGGAAGAAATAAAAAGCCTACACAGACCAATAACAAATAAAAAGATCAGAGTAGTAATTAAAAATTTCATAACAAGTACGACAACAACAAAAAGCCCAGAATCAAATGGTTTTGCAACTAAATTCCTTCAAACATTCAATGACAAATTAATACCAACATTTCCTAAATTCTTCCAAAAAATAGACCTAGAGGGAATACTTCCTAACACATTCTATGAGTGCAGGATCACCCTGATACCTAAGCCAGACAGATACTGTAAGAAAAGAAAACTACAGGCCAATATCGCTGAAAATATTGATGAAAAAAACACAATAAAATATTAGCAAACCAAATTCAACAACACATCACAATATTATACATCATGATCAAGTGAAATTTATCACTGACATGGACCCTCATTTAACATATACTAATTAATCAATGTGATACATTAACAGACTGAAAGATAAAAATCACATGATCATCTCAATTGATGCAGAAAAAGCATTCAACGAAGTTCAACATTGTTTCTTGATTTAAACTCTCAACAGTTTAGGTATAAATGGAAAGTTTGTCATCATAAAAAAGGCTATGAAAAAGCCACAGTTAACATCATAGTCAATGGGAAAAAAATTAAAGCTTTTCCGCTAAGATCTGGTACAAGGCAAGGATGCCCACTCTTGCTGCTTCTATTCAGCGTGGTACTGGAAATACTAGCAAGAGCAATTAGACAAGAAAAAGAAATAAAAGGCATTTAAATCAGAAAGAAAAAACTCAGATTATCTCTATGGATGGCATGATCCCATATTTAGTAAACCCCAAAGACTCCACCAAAAAAAAAAAAATGTTAGAACTAAAAAACAAACTTGGTAAAGTTAAAGGATACAAAATCAGTTGCATTTATGTGCACAAATAACAACCTACGTGAAAAAGAAATCAAGGAAACGATTGTATTTATGAAAGCATCAAAAATACAGTTAGGAATAAGTTTAACCATGGAAGTAAAAGACATGTACACTGAAAATTATAAACCATTGATAAAATTAATAGAAGACACAAATACGTGGAAAGATAACCCATATTCATGGATCTGAAAACTTGATGTTGTTAAAATGTCCATATTACCCAAAGGAATATGCAGATTCAATGGCATCCTTATCAAAATCCCGATGGCATTCTTCACAGAAATTTAAAAAATCCTGAAATTTGTATGGAACCATAAAAAAACTAAATAATAAAAGTAATTTTGAGAAGAGAAAATGACATTGGAGTTATCACACTTCCTGAGTTAAATTAGATTGCAAAGCTATAACAATCAAAACACTATGATACTGGCATAAAATCAGACCACAGACCAGTGGAACAAAAGAGAGAGCCCCAAAATAAATAAATATATATATATATATATATATATATATATATATATATATATATATATATACAGTAAACTAATTTTTGACAAAGGCACCAAGAAGACAAAATGGGAAAAGGATAATCTCTTCAATAAATGATGCTGGGGAAACTGGATTTGCATGCGCAAAAGAATAAAACTGGGCCCTTGTACCATACACAAAAATCAACTCAAAATGGATACAAGACCTAAATGTAAAATCTGAAACCATAAAACTCCAAGGAGAAAACATAGGAGAACAGGTCCTTGACATTGCCCTTGGCAATAATTTTTGAATATCACACCAAAAGGCTACAAAAGCAAAAATAAATAAATGGGAATATGTCAAACTGAAAAGCTTCTGCACAGCAAAGAAAACAATCAACAAAATGAAAAAGTAACCTATAGATTGGAAAAATAATTGCAAGACATATATTTGATAAGGTTTAATATCCAAAATTTATAAAATGTTCACACAGCTCAATAGCAAAAAACATATAACCCAATTAAAAAATGGGCAAATTATCTGAATAGTTATTTATCCAAAGAAGACATCAAAATGACCCACAGGTTAATGAAAAGATGCTCAATGTCACTAATCCTCAGGGAAATGCAAATCAAAACCATTATGCGTTATCACCTGACACCAGCAAGTGGAGCTTCCTAAAGAAATTAAAGTTAGAAGTACCATAAGATGTAGCAATTCCTCCTCTGGGTATGCATCCAAAGGAAAGGAAATCAGCACTCAGGGAGATATCTTCACTGTCATGTCCATTCCAGCATTATTCTCAATATCTAAGATAAGAAACAACCTAAATGTTCATTGGCAGGCAAATGGGTAAAGAAACTGTGATATATATGTACAAAGGAATATCCTTCAGCCTCAAAAAAGGAGATCCTGCCATTTGCCACAACATGGATGGAATTGCAAGACATTATGCTAAGTAAATATGTCAGATGCAGAAGGAAAAATATTGCATAATCTCACTCATATGTAAAATCTTTTAAACAAATTCAAATATACAGAAATAGAGAATTACACCGTGGTTACCAGGGGCAGTGTGGCAGGAAGGAATTGCAGAGAAGTAGGTCAAGGGTTACAAAGTCGCAGATAAGGAGGGTGGACAAGTCTAGAGATCTAATGTAAAACATGAGGACCGCCAATACTAACAGTGTCTTGTATTCAGGATTTTTGCTAAATGAGTTGATTGTAGATACTTCAGCCCCACACACAAAACATGGGTACATTAATTTGCTTCACTATATTAACCAATTTACTATATATATATATATATATATATATATATATATATATATATACACACATATATATATATATACACATATATATATATAAACATCATGATGCTTACCTTAAACATACACAATTAAATGTATTTAAAAAATCCATCATGATGTACAACTTATATACATAAAATAACTAAAATAAAATTTAAAAAATAAGATTCTCCCCCTCCCACAACAAGAAAGGCTTTGGAAGGACTTGAATATAAGATGGCAGAATAATTTGGTAATAAATGCCAACGACTGAGATCTGGGACATCTGTTGACTGAGATGCCAGGTGCCATGTTGCATGGCATGGCATGAGGCCAGAGCCATGGGGCAGGCATTGTAGGATATGTACCAATGTCCAGTCTCCTCCACGGTGACTCTCTATGTGCTCAGACCATCAGGAATTATTTTCTTTTGCTCTTTTGGTGTCTCTGTAAATCCCATCTTATCTCCCAAAAATTTCCTCCTCTCCTCTGCTTTAAATGCAATGTCCTTTGAGGCCCAGCTCACAGGCCACATCAGCTACGCAGCGACGCAGCCCTGGAGGAACGAGCCCAGAGCCTGGGCTGTATCTCATGTTGCAGATTTCTGGCATCTTGAATCTTCTTATCCTGACCTCTCCAATCGCTGCCACCCTTCATCTTTGATCCCATTGGTGGGCTTGTGCAAGTGTGCAGGATGGAACCTGAGTTCCAGCCCCTTACGCTGACAATTACAGTAGTTGCTTACCAGCATCCTATGTCTGGGCCCTCTTCCCCTCAGAGGCAGGTTGCCTGGAAAGAACAGAAAGAACAAAGGGATCCATTTCTGTCTTTCTCCGAGGGACTGTCTGGAGCATCTCCAAAGATGGGGACTACAAAATGCGATTTGCATCACAGCCCACAGCAAACACAAAACTGCACACATCTGTGTCCAGTGGCGTATTAGCCATGTGGCTCCACCTCCAGAGGAGGATATCTGATCAGCCTCCAGGGCTTCATCCCCTAAGTCCCTGGCAGGTGTTGCAGCTGTTCCTTTCCTCAGGCTGCAGGTGAACAAGTGGGTGGCCACGCTTTGTTAAGTGGCATGGCCATCGAGAGTCATCCGGCTCTGTTGAGGCATCATTGTCCTTTCTGCTGGAAAAGTTGAGTCTTCCTGAACCTTGAAGACAAACCACAAGCTCATCGGTTGTTGTTTGTATGCATGTGTGACAGAAGAAAAAAAATTTCTCTTGAGAGAGGTGTTCAGTGCTCCCCTCATCCTCTTGCCCAGAAGGTGCCCCTGTTAGCACAGAACGCCCAGTATCTGTGAGTGGAGCAGGGGCAGGTGCTATGCGCCTGGGGACAGGCCACTTCATCTTTATGTGCCTCGATCTCCCCACCCACAATGAGATCTGGATCACACTTCTGAGTGACTGCTACCAGGTAGCCACTGGCCCATGTTTCAGTGGAAAGGAGAACAGGAGCCCAAAGATGACAAAAGACACAGCCCCACTGTCCAGAAGCTCACAGCTAGGAAATGAGATGCCCTTTCCTTAGTTCCTAATCAAAATTCCCATTTCAGGCCAATAACCATGAGCTGCTCTGTTGGGGTGATGCTGCAGTTAGCAAGACGTGCATCCCACCCTCTGGAAATTCATGGCACCAAAAGTTGTCACAGAGTGAGTTGGGGGCAAAATGACACTAAATGGTGCATCTTTAACCTTATGTCACAGATGTTAGCAAACTCAGTCCAAGAAAAAAAAGGCAATTAGTGCTCGCTTCGGCAGCACATATACTAAAATTGGAACGATACAGAGAAGATTAGCATGGCCCCTGAGCAAGGATGACACGCAAATTCGTGAAGCGTTCCATATTTTTTATTCACAATAGCAAAGACTTGGAACCAACCCAAATGTCCAACAATGATAGACTGGATTAAGAAAATGTGGCACATATACACCATGGAATACTATGCAGCCATAAAAAATGATAAGTTCTTGTCCTTTGTAGGGACATGGATGAAATTGGAAATCATCATTCTCAGTAAACTATCGCAAGGACAAAAAAACAAACACCACATGTTCTCACTCATAGATGGGAATTGAACAATGAGAACACATGGACACAGGAAGGGGAACATCACACTCTGGGGACTGTTGTGGGGTCGGGGGAGGGGGGAGGGATAGCATTAGGAGATATACCTAATGCTAAATGACGAGTTAATGGGTGCAGCACACCAGCATGGCACATGTATACATATGTAACTAACCTGCACATTGTGCACATGTACCCTAAAACTTAAAGTATAATAATAATTTTTTAAAAAGGCAATTAATACTGTTTTTACACATTATTTTGAAAGGCATTTTGATGATGCAAATAACCCACGTTACATACAGAATAATTATGAAATATAGGTAAAAGGAAAATGAAAATTACAAAATTACGGATACCTGGAAATATGTGCTTCTGACTGTGGGTCTGTCTCTCCATCTTCACTTGCTCAAAAGTAAAAATAATGACATCTTTGCTGCTCTGCAACCTGCTTAGTACTTAAATGAATTTTCCATATTTATATAAATGATGAAATCCCAGCACTGCTGTTTTAATGAATGCAGGATGATTCAGTTCAGATGTACCATGATTTGATTATCCTAAAGAAATTACAATAACCATCTTTACATCTATATATCTGTACACATCCTTATTTATTTAGAAGGAATTCTTAGAAACTGAATTGCTGAATAAAGGCACGTTTTATACGTACTGCAAAATGGCTAAGTTTTTTGGGTAATCTACTTCATGGATAATAAACTGCAATATGGTATACTAAACCTGACTTCTTCCCAGCATGTCACAGATCCGCCTCCACAAGTTACCATTCTGACTTCAAATGACTTGCTTGAACAAACTCACGTGCCTGATGTTGACTCACCTATGTTATTGCACCATGAAAGATGTGGAGCGCATCATGTTTTCACACGAATTAGCATGGAAAGGTGGTAACTTTATAGTTTTACCACCTCAAGCTTTTAATACCTTTCTTGCTGCAATGTATTGCCAACCAATGTGAACCATAATAGCACCGAGAGAAAACAGGATGCAGGAGGGAAGGAAGAAAAGTAATATTCCTTAAAATGTGCAGCACCATGTTCTCTAAATTTTGAAATACTGAACAAAAAGCATTAACAGGTTTGTAAACCTTTAACACAAATTGAGTTCTATTTCCTCTGCTGGCCCCTGGGAAGGGTATGTGGCCCAGTGGTGGGGACCTGAGACTTGGCTGGAAAGTCAGGGCTCTGGGTCTTTTTCCATACTTTAAAGCTCAGTGAGCAAATTTGAGATCAATTAAGTTCCCCATCTGGAACCGGATGAAAAAGCTTGCCAGATCCACCTCACGTGATACCACAATTTCCTATGAAGATTACTATTAAATTAAGGAACTATGATGAAGACCAACTGGCGTAACTGCTTGGGTTTGGTTATCTTCCAGAAATGATTCATGCTATACGTATTTAATTAGTTTTTTTCAGTTATTTGAAAGGCTCCTTTCAGGAGGATGTTGGAACACAATTACATGTGACATTTGGCTGAGAGCAGTGACTCCTAGGTCGTGACCTGTCCACCTGCGTGTGCCCGTAGCAGCATTGAGCAGGTCTTCCCAGAAAAGCCAAGACAGTGGGAAAATGATCACCTGGTATAGCTAAGTGTGAGTACAGGCTACAACATTGTTGAGCTACACATAGCCACAGACACCAAATGCATTAGGTCGTTCTAAAACCATAAAGGATTCCAATGTTTCATAGCTACATTTGTGGACTAGAAATGATGGAGCTACCTAAATTCCACAGATATTCTGATTAGAGTCTCCTACTAGATGTAATTTTTTCCTCAAGCTATCAATAGCAAAATTAACAAGTGAGCAAGCTCCTCTCCATCTCCCTGTGGAACAGCCAACAATTAGGAGAAAGAAAAGTCTTATAGCTGGTGAGAGACTAGGATGTGAAGGCTGGAGGAGCTGGGATTGGTGCTGCAAAGGAGATAGCACGGACAGGAGTGGCTAGTGCTGACCTTGTCCCAGGCACTGCAGCCAAAAGAAGTTTGCTTGTGACCAAACTTCTCAGTCATTAGGATTCATCTCCATTGTACAGATAATGAAATAAAGACTCAGAGATGAATCACTTTCAGATGCATCCACAGTCAGTCAATAGATGTTTGAAGTAGTTTTCTGTGTTTCTCTTGTGCCAAATACTAAACTGTTTCTTCTAGAGAAGAGAGATCTTAAAATCATGAAGTCCAACAATGGCCAAGGTGTAGCTAGGCAGAGCTGGGGCTGTTCAAATATGAACATCATTAGGAATGATGACAGGAATAATCATTATTATTATAACAATAATAAACATTTGCTGAGTACCAACTATGGGCCAGACACGAGTTTGGGCACTTTAGATTCTGTTTTCCTTAAGATGGGGGAGGCTGGCCGGGCGTGCTGGCTCACTTCTGTAATCCCAGCACTTTGGGAGGCCGAGGCAGGTGGATTGCCTGAGGTCAGGAGTTCGAGACCAGTCTGGCCAACATGGTGAAACCCCATCTCTAATAAAAATACTAAAAAATTAGCCAGGTGTGGCAGTGTGCTCCTGTAATCCCAGCTACTCTGGAGTCTAAAGCGGGAGAATCACTTGAACCCGGGAGGCGGAGCTTGCAGTGAGCCAAGATCACGCCACTGCACTCTAGCCTGGGTGACAGAGTGAGACTCTGTCACAAAAAAAAAAAGATGGGGGAGGCCATATTGCAATAATAAAATATCATCAATATTTTCTGGGACCTAAACCGACAAAGTCCCAGAAGATTTTATGGTACTATGTGTCAGTTTTGGACTGGCCAGGCTGTGCTGTATGTCATTTTGCACTACCTGGCAGATAAAGAGAAATATCAAATCACACGCTGTCTCCTGAAGCTCCAGCCAGAAGTGAACAAACAGATACCACAAGCCAAAGCACAATCCCAAGGCCAGGCCTGATTTGAAGGGGAGCAGGCTGTGCCTAAGGATCAGAAATATTAGGTGCCAGCAGCAACGACCCCCATACATGTGTTCTGTCATTTACCTCCCCAAAAGACTTTTACAGAAGAGAAAATGCGGCATGGAGAGCTTCAGGGACCTGTGTAAATGCCACACAGCTAAGTAGAGACAAGCTTGGCCTTGACTCCAGGCAGCTGGACTCCACAGTCTGTGCTCTGTTTGTAAATTTTTACTTATTTATTTATTTATTTATTGAGAAGGAGTCTCGCTCTGTCGCCCAGGCTGGAGTGCAATAGTGCGATCTCGGCTCACCCCACCTCCGCCTCCCAGGTTCAAGTGATTCTCCTGCCTCAGCCTCCCAAGTAGCTGGGATTATAGTTGTGCACCACCACGCCCGGCTAATTTTGTATTTTTAGTAGAGACGGGGTTTCTCCATGTTGGTCAGGCTGGTCTCAAACTCGCAACCTCAGGTGATTCGCCCATCTCGGCCTCCTGAAGTGCTGGGATTACAGGCGTGAGCCACTGCACCCAGCCATAATTTTTTTTTTTAATTGACGGACACGAACTGTATATATTTATGGTATATGACATAATGTTTTTTCTTTTTTTGTCCTCATCGCCTGTCCTAAGAAGAACATAGTGTTTTGATATACAGTATGCGTACACTATGGAATGGCTAAACTGAACTAAGTAACATATGCATTGCCTCACCTACTTGCCAGTTATTTGTGGTAAGAACACTTAAAACTACTCTCTTAGAAGTGCTCAAGAATACAAGACACTGTGTTTAGCTGTGGTCACCATGCTGTGCAACAGATTTCTTGAAGTTTCTCCTCCTAACTGAAATTGTGTATCCCTGGCCAACCTCTTCTCAGTCCTTCCCCTGCCCCAGCCTCTGGTAAGCACCATCCCACTCTCTGCCTCTGTGAGTTTGACATTTTTAGCCTCTGTATATAAGTGAGATCATAAAGTAGCTGTCTTTTGGCACCCAGCTTATTTCGCTTAGCATAATGTCTTCCAGGTTCATCTATGGTGTTGCAAATGACAGGATTTCCTTGTTTCTTAAGGCTGAATAGTACTCAACCGTGTATTTATAACACATTTTCTTCACCTGTCGATGGACACGGAGGTTGATTCCATATTCTGGCTGTTGTGGATAGTGCTATGATGAACATGGGTACAGGTAGAGTAGCCTGCACTCTTTACCATCATTCATTTCTCTCTCTCTAGCTACTGTCAACAGCACCAACTACGTACCAGGCATGGAATGCAATATTATTTATATCCTTTACTCCTCCCAGTCCTGCAGATTTTATTCATCACATTTTACCCGTGAGGACCATGAATCTTTCCATGAGGACAATGAAGATGTAGAACTTATTCTAGTATCCTAAGCAGTAGTCAAAGTTTGAACCTTAGCTTGCCTGACCCCAAAGCCCATGCTCTTCAGCATTACATTATGAAATTCTTGGGAGACCTAGCACAACTCTGAATTCGAGAAATATTAACTCAGCACCTACTCTGCACAAGATACATGAAACTCAACCCTCTCTCTTGTTGGCTTGTAGTCAGTCATTAGTGATATTTGAGAGCAGTAGGTCATCTGGAGAGACTGGATGCAAAGCAATCACAGTCCATGAGCTGTCTCCATGAAGATTAGAAAAGAGGCACTTCTTTCTCAAGACATGTTACTTCTATCTCTTGGGATGCTGTCATATTACACTGTTTTGTTAGAATAAGATCTCCTACTACCATCTTCTAGAGAACTGTTGTAAAGCACATGTGAGTCTGTGGAAGTTGTGATGTGCATGGGGCCTGCAAGGATGTGCACCAACACAACCTAAATGGGTGGCCTGGCTATGCTCACCAAAGGGCTTCTTGCTCTCCTTCCACATTTTTACCAGGCTGGATTCCATTTGCATTTTGTATTCTAGGACACACAGAAGCAGCTTTGTTGTCATGATGCAATGGCAGTGATCAGAAATGATCACCCCTTCCATGAGAAAAATCATGAGAATCTAAAAATATGCAGACTTCCTACCTTACTCTAATGCTGAAAGAGAGTGATTTGAAGTCACCACTTTTTTTTTAAATAGGTTTTCACTTTGCCTCCCAGGCTGGAGTGCAGTGGTGCGATCTCAGCTCACTTCATCCTCGACCTCCCGGGCTCAAGCGATCCTACCACCTCTGCCTCCCAAGTAGCTGGGACTATAGTTAAGACTATTTTTTCCAGCCAGGTGCAGTGGCTCACTCCTGTAATCCCAGCACTTTGGGAGGCCAAGGCAGGCGGATGACCTGAGGTCAGGAGTTCAAGACCAGCCTGAACAACATGGTGAAACCCCGTCTCTATCAAAAAAAAAAAAATTAACCTGGTGTGCTGGTGGGTGCCTGTAATCTCAGCTACTCGAAAGGCTGAGGCAGGAGAATTCCTTGAACCCGGGAGACAAAAGTTTCAGTGAGCCAAGATCGTGCCGTTGCACTCCAGCCTGGGCGACAGAGCAAAACTCCATCTCAGGAAAAAAAAAAAGCTATTTTTTCCCCTCTTTTTAGAGGTGGGATTTCACTCTGTCACCCAGGCTGGAGTGCAGTGCCATGATCATAGCTCAGTTCAGCCTCAAACTTCTGGGCTCAAGCAATCCTCCAGCCTGAGCTTCCTCAGTGGCTAGGACTATAGGCACACAGCACAATGCCTGGTGAATTTTCTATTATATTTTTTGTAGAGACAGGTCTTGCTATGTTTCCCAGGCCAGTCTCAAACTCCTGGCCACAAGAGATCCTCCTGCTTTGGCCTCCCAAAGCACTGGGATAATAGACATGAGCCACCATGCCTGGCCCTGCAAATGACTTATAGTCTGCAGATCTGAGTGTTCATTTCAGCTTTGCCACGTTCTTCCCAGTGACCCTTCACAAGTCACTCTACTTCTGAGCATTCAGTTGCTTCTCTTTGAAAAGGAATTGTGTCCCCAGCCTGTGTGCCTCACATCGGGGCCACGGTTCTGCTTTGTAAGGGCTTTGAAGCACTAGGGGAATTGGGATGCACCACATGCCTGCTAGTTCTGCATCACCAGGCTCTCTTCGGAGTGCTCCTTACCTTCATCACACACATGTGAGTTCCCGTTACCAAGCCAGGGTCTGTGTCAGATGTTGAGATACAAGAATGAAGAAAACTTTACCTGCATAGTTAACTAGTGTCTATTCACCAGAATGAGTCGTTTGAGAGTAGAGAGTCTACATTAAGCTTTTCTCTGCCACCCCACCCTTGTACCTAGGACAGCTCCAAGGTCTCCAGATGTGCCTAATGAGCTGTTTTTCAGTTAGGAAATATTAAGAATAAATCTCTGCATATGACCCAGTGTCTCTGTGGTGTTAGATTTTTCTGTGGTACCAGATGACCAAACTGAAGTTAACCTTAACTAGTTTCCTCGTTTCAGAAAATAAGGACTTATTATCTTAACCCAACCCCTTATCTAGTTTTTAAACAATGAATTTGGGAGCATTTAGAAGATAGTGTATTGATTAATACAAACTGATAACAATAATACTAATGCGTACACTTTGTTGAATGATTCCTACGTATCAGCTTTACAGCTCCAGGTTTACCAGGAGTAAGTCCGTTCTAATGGGGAAAAAAAACTGTTATTGCCCTTTAGAACAGAGTGTGGTATGTATCTCTACTTCAGCCGAGTACTTGACACTGTGTCTGTATCTTGATAGATTAGTGAATTTCCTGGGTAAAGAGAATTTGCCTGGGTTTAGAGATCAACCCAAGTGATTTCCTGGGTTTAGAGATCCTAAACTAGATCTCTAAAGAGTATTACTACCAGGTCTGTGTCAAATTGAAAGGTGATTCTGAATGTTGGGTCATCAGCATATATTGTTTAGTATGTTTATCAGAAGCTCAAGTGGAAACAGATTTGCAGCTCTGCTGTAGAAGACAGCTTCAAGACTTGTACAATGACATTGACAGATAAGAATGAGGAGCTACAGAAAAATGAAATAAAATTTATTAGGAAAAAGTGTGATAGCCTGTATTCCAGAAAGTCGCTTGCAAGGTACAAAAGATTCCTGGCTTGGTGATGACTCATGTGAGGAAGGAATGAGATTTAGGCAAATAAAACCTCACATAAGGAATCCTGTGACAAGGCTGCCAAAACAGTGAGAACAATTGAAATCTACCACCCAATTAAAAGGTGGCAATAGTTCTACTTTCTCTGTGAATACTACTATAAGTAGAATTATTATTCCATTCTGAATTCATTTTTACATTCTAAATACATTTATATCTATTGAAAATTTTCCCATCAGATAATGATATATTATCAATGGATTTGAAAAATTAGAAATATCTTAATATTTCAAAATAAATATTTAACTCCAGAGAATAGGATAGCTTTTCTCATGTTCATCATTGTTGAAAATGCTTGTAGCAGTTACTTATATACATACTTTTAAAATAATTTTTATTAGTTCTGTTAATTGACAATTTATAATCTGGGAAAGATTATAAATTCCTTTTATAAAGAGAAAAATGAAATTGAGATGTGACCCTGTCATAGTAATGCATTCAGGAATCTCATATAAGCATTGCTAGATGAGTCATTTTGCTGGGAGCAGGGCAGCTCATTTTAAGGATGATATTGACAAAGAGGGTATAATACAGATGGCAGAAAACATGAAAATCATCTTGTGTGTAGAAACCTGGAATATTTATCCCAGGAGTCATAAATAATAAAGGTTTTCCACTATGTGATATCACAGCCTGTGAATAAGTAATCCCTGTGTTCTTAATATCACCAAATGTCAGAGCTACGAGTCCCAAACAGGATGATTAAAACAAGTTATAAGAAATAAAGATAGAGAGAGGAGCCAAGATGGCCGAATAGGAACAGCTCCGGTCTACAGCTCCCAGCGTGAGCAACGCAGAAGACAGGTGATTTCTGCATTTCCATCTGAGGTACCGGGTTCATCTCACTAGGGAGTGCCAGACAGTGGGCGCAGGTCAGTGGGTGCACGCACCGTGCGCCAGCCGAAGCAGGGCGAGGCACTGCCTCACTCGGGAAGCGCAAGGGGTCAGGGAGTTCCCTTTCCTAGTCAAAGAAAGGTGTGACGGACAGCACCTGGAAAATCAGGCCACTCCCACCCGAATACTGCGCTTTTCCTACGGGCTTAAAAAACGGCGCACCACGAGATTATATCCCGCACCTGGCTCGGAGGGTCCTACGACCACGCAGTCTCGCTGATTGCTAGCACAGCAGTCTGAGATCAAACTGCAAGGCGGCAGCGAGGCTGGGGGAGGGGCGCCCGCCATTGCCCAGGCTTGATTAGGTAAACAAAGCAGCTGGGAAGCTCGAACTGGGTGGAGCCCACCACAGCTCAAGGAGGCCTGCCTGCCTGCCTCTGTAGGCTACACCTCTGGGGGCAGGGCACAGACAAACAAAAAGACAGCAGTAACCTCTGCAGACTTAAATGTCCCTGTCTGACAGCTTTGAAGAGAGCAGTCGTTCTCCCAGCACGCAGCTGGAGATCTAAGAACGGGCAGACTGCCTCCTCAAGTGCGTCCCTGACCCCTGACCCCCGAGCAGCCTAACTGGGAGGCACCCCCCAGCAGGGGCACACTGACACCTCACACTGCAGGGTACTCCAACAGACCTGCAGCTGAGGGTCCTGTTTGTTAGAAGGAAAACTAACAAACAGAAAGGACATCCACACCAAAAACCCATCTGTACATCGCCATTGTCAAAGACCAAAAGTAGATAAAACCACAAAGATGGGGAAAAAACAGAACAGAAAAACTGGAAACTCTAAAAAGCAGAGCGCCTCTCCTCCTCCAAAGGAACACAGTTCCTCACCAGCAACGGAACAAAGCTGGACGGAGAATGACTTTGACGAGCTGAGAGAAGAAGGCTTCAGACGATCAAATTACTCTGAGCTACAGGAGGACATTCAAACCAAAGGCAAAGAAGTTGAAAACTTTGAAAAAAATTTAGAAGAATGTATAACTAGAATAACCAATACAGAGAAGTGCTTAAAGGAGCTGATGGAGCTGAAAACCAAGGCTCGAGAACTACGTGAAGAATGCAGAAGCCTCAGGAGCCGACACGATCAACTGGAAGAAAGGGTATCAGCAATGGAAGATGAAATGAATGAAATGAAGTGAGAAGGGAAGTTTAGAGAAAAAAGAATAAAAAGAAATGAGCAAAGCCTCCAAGAAATATGGGACTATGTGAAAAGACCAAATCTACGTCTGATTGGTGTACCTGAAAGTGATGGGGAGAATGGAACCAAGTTGGAAAACACTCTGCAGGATATTATCCAGGAGAACTTCCCCAATCTAGCAAGGCAGGCCAACGTTCAGATTCAGGAAATACAGAGAACGCCACAAAGATATTCCTCGAGAAGAGCAACTCCAAGACACATAATTCTCAGATTCACCAAAGTTGAAATGAAGGAAAAAATGTTAAGGGCAGCCAGAGAGAAAGGTCGGGTTACCCTCAAAGGGAAGCCCATCAGACTAACAGCGGATCTCTCGGCAGAAACCCTACAAGCCAGAAGAGAGTGGGGGCCAATATTCAACATTCTTAAAGAAAAGAATTTTCAACCCAGAATTTCATATCCAGCCAAACTAAGCTTCATAAGTGAAGGAGAAATAAAATACTTTACAGACAAGCAAATGCTGAGAGATTTTGTCACCACCAGGCCTGCCCTAAAAGAGCTCCTGAAGGAAGCGCTAAATATGGAAAGGAACAAGCGGTACCAGCCGCTGCAAAATCATGCCAAAATGTAAAGACCATCGAGACTAGGAAGAAACTGCATCAACTAACGAGCAAAATAACCAGCTAACATCATAATGACAGGATCAAATTCACACATAACAATATTAACTTTAAATGTAAATGGACTAAATGCTCCAATTAAAAGATGCAGACTGGCAAATTGGATAAAGAGTCAAGATCCATCAGTGTGCTGTATTCAGCAAACCCATCTCACGTGCAGAGACACACATAGGCTCAAAATAAAAGGATGGAGGAAAATCTACCAAGCAAATGGAAAACAAAAAAAGGCAGGGGTTGCAATCCTAGTCTCTGATAAAACAGACTTTAAACCAACAAAGATCAAAAGAGACAAAGAAGGCCATTACATAATGGTAAAGGGATCAATTCAACAAGAAGAGCTAACTATCCTAAATATATATGCACCCAACACAGGAGCACCCAGATTCATAAAGCAAGTCCTGAGTGACCTACAAAGAGACTTAGACTCCCACACATTAATAATGGGAGACTTTAACACCCCACTGTCAACATTAGACAGATCAACGAGACAGAAAGTCAACAAGGATACCCAGGAATTCAACTCAGCTCTGCACCAAGCAGACCTAATAGACATCTACAGAACTCTCCACCCCAAATCAACAGAATATACATTTTTTTCAGCACCACACCACACCTATTCCAAAATTGACCACATACTTGGAAGTAAAGCTCTCCTCAGCAAATGTAAAAGAACAGAAATTATAACAAACTGTCTCTCAGACCACAGTGCAATCAAACTAGAACTCAGGATTAAGAATCTCACTCAAAACCGCTCAACTACATGGAAACTGAACAACCTGCTCCTGAATGACTACTGGGTACATAACGAAATGAAGGCAGAAATAAAGATGTTCTTTGAAACCAACGAGAACAAAGACACAACATACCAGAATCTCTGCGACGCATTCAAAGCAGTGTGTACAGGGAAATTTATAGCACTAAATGCCCACAAGAGAAAGCAGGAAAGATCCAAAATTGACACCCTAACATCGCAATTAAAAGAACTAGAAAAGCAAGAGCAAACACATTCAAAAGCTAGCAGAAGGCAAGAAATAACTAAAATCAGAGCAGAACTGAAGGAAATAGAGACACAAAAAACCCTTCAAAGAATTAATGAATCCAGGAGCTAGTTTTTTGAAAAGATCAACAAAATTGATAGACTGCTAGCAAGACTAATAAAGAAAAAAAGAGAGAAGAATCAAATAGACGCAATAAAAAATGATAAAGGGGATCTCACCACCGATCCCACAGAAATACAAACTACCATCAGAGAATACTACAAACACCTCTACGCAAATAAACTAGAAAATCTAGAAGAAATGGATACATTCCTCGACACATACACTCTCCCAAGACTAAACCAGGAAGAAGTTGAATCTCTGAATAGTCAATAACAGGAGCTGAAATTGTGGCAATAATCAATAGCTTACCAACAAAAAAGAGTCCAGGACCAGACGGATTCACAGGCGAATTCTACCAGAGGTACAAGGAGGAACTGGTACCATTCCTTCTGAAACTATTCCAATCAATAGAAAAAGAGGGAATCCTCCCTAACTCATTTTATGAGGCCAGCATCATTCTGATACCAAAGCCAGGCAGAGACACAACCAAAAAAGAGAATTTTAGACCAATATCCTTGATGAACATTGATGCAAAAATCCTCAATAAAATACTGGCAGACCGAATCCAGCAGCACATCAAAAAGCTTATCCACCATGATCAAGTGGGCTTCATCCCTGGGATGCAAGGCTGGTTCAATATACGCAAATCAATAAATGTAATCCAGCATACAAACAGAGCCAAAGACAAAAACCACATGATTATCTCAATAGATGCAGAAAAGGCCTTTGACAAAATTCAACAACCCTTCATGCTAAAAACTCTCAATAAATTAGGTATTGATGGGACGTATATTTCAAAATAATAAGAGCTATCTATGACAAACCCACAGCCAATATCATACTGAATGGGCAAAAACTGGAAGCATTCCCTTTGAAAACTGGCACAAGACAGGGATGCCCTCTCTCACCACTCCTATTCAACATAGTGTTGGAAGTTCTGGCCAGGGCAATTAGGCAGGAGAAAGAAAGAAAGGGTATTCAATTAGGAAAAGAGGAAGTCAAATTGTCCCTGTTTGCAGATGACATGATTGTATATCTAGAAAACCCCACTGTCTCAGCCCAAAATCTCCTTAAGCTGATAAGCAACTTCAGCAAAGTCTCAGGATACAAAATCAATGTACAAAAATCACAAGCATTCTTATACAGCAACAACAGACAAACAGAGAGCCAAATCATGAGTGAACTCCCATTCACAATTGCTTCAAAGAGAATAAAATACCTAGGAATCCACCTTACAAGGGATGTGACGGACCTCTTCAAGGAGAACTACAAACCACTGCTCAAGGAAATAAAAGAGGATACAAACAAATGGAAGAACATTCCATGCTTATGGGTAGGAAGAATCAATATCGTGAAAATGGCCATACTACCCAAGGTAATTTACAGATTCAATGCCATCCCCATCAGGCTATCAATGACTTTCTTCACAGAATTGGAAAAAACTACTTTAAAGTTCATATGGAACCAAAAAAGAGCCTGCATCGCCAAGTCAATCCTAAGCCAAAAGAACAAAGCTGGAGGCGTCACGCTACCTGACTTCAAACTATACTACAAGGCTACAGTAACCAAAACAGCATGGTACTGGTACCAAAACAGAGATATAGATCAATGGAACAGAACAGAGCCCTCAGAAATAACGCCGCATATCTAAAACTATCTGATCTTTGACAAACCTGAGAAAAACAAGCAATGGGGAAAGGATTCCCTATTTAATGAATGGTGCTGGGAAAATTGGCTAGCCATATGTAGAAAGCTGAAACTGGATCCCTTCCTTACACCTTATACAAAAATCAATTCAAGATGGATTAAAGACTTAAATGTTAGACCTAAAACCATAAAAGCCCTAGAAGAAAACCTAGGCATTACCATTCAGGACATAGACATGGGCAAGGACTTCATGTCTAAAACACCAAAAGCAATGGCAACAAAAGCCAAAATTGACAAATGGGATCTAATTAAACTAAAGAGCTTCTGCACAGCAAAACAAACTACCATTAGAGTGAACAGGCAACCTACAAAATGAGAGAAAATTTTCGCAAGCTACTCATCTGACAAAGGGCTAATATCCAGAATCTACAATGAACTCAAACAAATTTACAAGAAAAAAACAAACAACCCCATCAAAAAGTGGGCAAAGGACATGAACAGACAGTTCTCAAAAGAAGACATTTATGCAGCCAAAAAACACATGAAAAAATGCTCATCATCACTGGCCATCAGAGAAATGCAAATCAAAACCACAATGAGATACCATCTCACACCAGTTAAAATGGCAATCATTAAAAAGTCAGGAAACAACAGGTGCTGGAGAGGATGTGGAGAAATAGGAACACTTTTACACTGTTGGTGGGACTGTAAACCAGTTCAACCATTGTGGAAGTCAGTGTGGCGATTCCTCAGGGATCTAGAACTAGAAATACCATTTGACCCAGCTATCCCATTACTGGGTATGTACCCAAAGGACTATAAATCATGCTGCTATAAAGACACATGCACACATATGTTTATTGCGGCATTATTCACAATAGCAAAGACTTGGAACCAAGCCAAATGTCCAACAATGATAGACTGGATTAAGAAAATGTGGCACATATACACCATGGAATACTATGCAGCCATAAAAAATGATGAGTTCATGTCCTTTGCAGGGACATGGATGAAACTGGAAATCATCATTCTCAGTAAACTATCGCAAGAACAAAAAACCAAACACCGCATATTCTCACTTACAGGTGGGAATTGAACAATGAGATCACATGGACACAGGAAGGGGAACATCACACTCTGGGGACTGTTGTGGGGTGGGAGGAGGGGGGAGGGATAGCATTGGGAGATATACCTAATGCTAGATGACAAGTTAGTGGGTGCAGCGCACCAGCATGGCACATGTATACATATGTAAATAACCTGCACAATGTGCACATGTACCCTAAAACTTAAAGTATAATAATAAAAGAAAAAAAAAAAGAAATAAAGATAAACAGGCCAGGCGCAGTGGCTGATGCCTGTAATCCCGGCACTTTGGGAGGCCAAGGCAGGAGGATCACAAGGTCAGGAGATCAAGACCATCCTGGCTAACACGGTGAAACCCCGTCTCTGCTAAAACTACAAAAAATTAACCAGTCGTGGTGGCGGGCGCCTGTAGTCCCAGCTACTCGGGATGCTGAGGGAGGAGAATGGCGTGAACCCAGGAGGCAGAGCTTGCAGTGAGCCGAGATTGCGCCACTGCACTCCAGCCTGGGGGACAGAGCTAGACTCCATCTCAAAAAAAAAAAAAAAAAAAAAAAGAAAAGAAAGAAAGAAACAACAAAGATGTTTTCAGAATGAGATAAGCTGCCTCTTAGAATAGTCTTCTTTACTAGGTTCATTCTGGAGAAAATCTTTAAATTTTAGGGTAATCTATGGGGTGATTCATGAGGTCCTTTCTGACTACAGGGTTGTGTGCCCCGTGGTGATGATTTCTGGAGCCAAATTATCGTCTGAATACTAATCCACATGTCTGAGCTCACCTCTGCCATGACAGCCACTCCCTTTGCCACAATTCCAAAATGTTTTTGTTTGCAAACTCAATCTGGTGAAGTATTGAAATGTTTGAACAAATTCTGTGTTTCTCGATATGAGGCAACTTGTGGAATGTGTAAGTGACTTGAGGTTTCCAGAAATATTTAGGTTCCATTTCTCTCTATGTGTACAGATGCTTCCCTATTCTGGTAACAGTGGATTAACTTTGTGGGAAATAGCTAGGTTGTGGCTGAACAAAAAGCAAAGTGTTTCTAATCATCAATGTGTTTTTTTCTTCCCATGAGAAAATATACTTACTATAAACTTAGGAGGAAGTCAAGCCACCTCACTTCCTTTCTGTTTTTTTTTTTTTTTCAGGTTTAAAATACTCCATTTTTGCTATTCACTTTTACTTGAGCAAAAATAGTTAAAGAAAGACCCTGGAGATACCTAAAAAAGGTACACTATTTAGGTTCAGTTCCATGAAAGCAAGGCCTAGAAAGCAATAGTGTCTTTGTGATCACACAGAATTTGGGAACAAGGCTGAGAGAATTTTCCTTTAAGTGATATTTCATAGGACTTATAAAACATAAATAAATAGTTATAGAATAATAACTACAGAAAACACTCTATGATACCAGCTGACAAGCTGCATGAGAAACCTTATCTATCTCCTGCATAAATCCCTATTACAAACAGACCCATGGCCAGGAGGAAGTCAATATAATTAAACCTCACAGTGGGGAGAACTTCCTCTGCCAAACTTCAAGATCAAAGAAGGCTTTGCGGAAGAGATGGCATTGGATCTGGTTCTGAAAGATAGGAAGAATTTGAAGTATAAAGTGGACTATTATTCAGCCATAAAAAGAAAATCCTGCCATTTGCAACAACACAGATGAACCTGGAGGACATGTTACATAAAATAAGCATAGAAAGACACAGACAGACAAATACTGCATGATCTCACTTATGTGTGGAATCTAAAAGTGTCAAACTGGGCAGGGCATGGTGGCTCACACCTGTAATCCCAGCACTTTGGGAGGCCGAGGCAGGTGGATCACCTGAGGTCAGGAGTTCAAGAGGAGCCTGACCAACATGGTGAAACCCCATCCCTACTAAAATTACAAAATTAGCTGGGTGTGGTGGCACATGCCATGCCTGTAATCCCAGCTACTCGGGAGGTTGAGGCAGGAGAATCACTTGAACCCGGGAGGCAGAGGTTACAGTGAGCTCAGACTGTGCCATTGCACTCTAGCCTGGGCGACAAGAGCAAAAATCTGTCTCAAAAATAAATAAATAAATAAAAGTGTCAAACTCATAGAAGCAGAGAGTTAAATGGTGATGCCAGGGGTGGGGGAGAGGGGAAACTGGGTGAGAGGCTGGACAAAGAATACAAGCTTTCAGTTACAAGACGAATCAGTTCTGGGGTTCTCATATACAGCATGGGTGGTGATGGATGTGTTAATTAATTTGATTTTGGTAATCACTACACAATGCATACATATGTCAAATCATCATGTTGCACACCAAAAATATTCGATCTTTGTCAATTAAATATTTTAAAATTTAAAAAATACATTTTTAAAATAAAATATAATAATGAACTGTCATCATGGTTAAGTAACCTACCCAGATTCAAACGAGACATAAAACTAGATATTCTCAAGTATGCAGAAAGAGCCACTAACACTATGCAAGTCAATAAATGCAATACACCACATAAACAGGATTAAAAACAAAAATTACATGATTATCTCGATAGACGCAGAAAAAGCATTTGACATTAAGCATCCCTTAATGATTAAAGCCCTCAGCAAAATCAGCATAGAAGGGACACAAGGTAACAAAAGCCATCTACAACAAACCCACAGCCAACATAATACTGAAGGGGGATGAGCTGAAAGCATTCCTCCTGAGAACTGGAACAAGACAAGGATGCCCACTTTCACCACTTCTATTCACCACAGTACTGAAAGTCCTAGCCAAAGTAATCAGACAAGAGAAGGAAATAAAGGGCATCCAAATGGCTAAAGAGGAAGTCAAACTGTTGTTGTTTGCTGATGATATGATTATATACCTAGAAAACCCCAAAGACTTCTCCAAAAAGCTCCTAGAACTGATAAATGAATTGAGCAAAGTTTTAGGATACAAATTTATTGTACACAAATCGGTAGCTCTACTATACACCAACAGCAACCAACCTGAGAATCAAATCAAGAACTCATCCCCTTTTACAATAGCTGAAAACAAAACAAAAAAAAAAAAACTTAGGAATATACCTAACCAAGGAGGTAAAAGACCTCTACAAGAAAAGCTACAAAACACTGCTGAAAGAAATCACAGATGACACAAACAAATGAAAACACATCCCACGCTCGTGGATGGGTAGAATCAATGTTGTGAAAATGACCGTATTGCCAAAAGCAATCTACAAATTCAATGCAATTCCCATCAAAACATACCATCGTTCTTCACAGAACTAGAAAAAACAATCCTAAAATTCATATGGAACCAAAAAAGAGCCCACGTAGCCAAAGAAAGACTAAGCAAAAAGAACAAATCTGGAGGTATCAACTGATATACCCTAAGGCCATAGTCACCAAAACAGCATGGTACTGGTATAAAAACAGGCATATAGACCAATGGAACAGAATAGAGAACCCAGAAATAAAGCCAAATACTTACAGCCAACTGATCTTCAACAAAGCAAACAAAAACATAAAGTGGGGAAAGGACACCCTATTCAACAAATGGGGCTGGGATAATTGGCAAGCCACCTTAGGAAAATATTACCAATATAAAAATCCACGGCAATATACTAAATTGTATTTTATAACTGATTAAAACAGGAATTGGGTAGTAAGAATTGGCAGTATTTATTAGTACTCTCCAGTTGAGAGACATGTTGGGGATAGAGAGTAGTCTGGCCTTGTCCTATATACCTATATGGATCTGGGGTAGTCTTCCAGATTCATATGACTTGTGTGAAATATCCCTTAAGAGTATCCAATTCCTCCTGGGCCAGGCCGTGTTGCATCCAGGTCACTTGTACCTCCCCTCTTTCTCTCCGAGGCTGCTTGTCCTCTCCCTGCATGCTCCAGGCCTCCTCGGACTTTCAGGGAAGCTCTAGTTGGGAAAGAGAGCTATTAATTAACCACCCACTTGCTCAGCAATTCAGTGTTATGCTAGTTTGCTTTCCTGTGGGGACAACCTCAAAATCTCGGGGGCTTATACCAACAGCTATATTCCACTTGGGTTAGATGAGGGCTGCATGTTGTCTATTGGTCTGATCCATGGGTTGCTTTTGCTCCAAGGTCCAGGCTAAAGGAGATGCCCTCTCTTGGGGAATGTCATGCCCCTGCTAGAGGTAGTCTCTGCTTGGACTGGGCACACTGCTACTTCGCTGCTCATTTCATCAACCCCAGCCAGCCACTGTGGGGCAAGCCAGTGTTCCTTGCTTGTCAGAGACGCTGTACTTTGCATACAATGGTGAAGAGAGTGAACAGCAGGGTGTAATTAAACAGTCAACCACAACCTGAAGCCACTTTCCCTGCTAAGTGGACCTCAACTCAATGGTCTCATTCTGAAAGATGTGGCCTAAATTCTTGCTTGGAATGGTAATTCCTCTCTAATAGACTCTGCTGTTCTCTTGCCAGTCAAGAGGACTGAAGGGGATTGAAGCTCTGAACCTAGGCTCAGTGGCTACTGCCCCTCCTCCACAGCCGCTGGCTTCCAGCAGACATTCCTGATGCTGATGTGCTCCTTGGAGTGCTGAGCTTTGGGGGAAATCCTGTTGCATGGTGCCAGACCCTCCTTCCCCATCTCATAACTCCATCACAGAGTTGGTCTACCATGGATGAACTTATCCTAGGTTCAAGATATTCTGCCCAGGTGACTAGGCTTCTCCAGTGACAGATGGACCACTGCTCTTACCCCCTCATACCTGCTCCATCTGAGCTACTGGCCAGCTGGCCTCACCTGCCAAAGGCAACTGGGCCATGACGGCTGAGTAATAAAAAGCAATGCTGTGCTTTGCTTCCAGACTCACCAAGAACCCTCTGGCTACTAATTTTGTGTAGCAGATTTGCATTTTGATCCACATCCTTAGGTGCTTATGAAATAAAACTTGGATGCCTTTTGATAATCATGTTCTGGGTGTGTACCCAAAAGTGGAGTTGCTAACTCATAGGGTATGATTTTGTTCAAAACTGACATACTGTCAATAGTTTTCCAAATTAATGGTAATAATTTATACCTACACCAGTAATATAATGTGTTTCTGTCAATCCTTAAATTTTAGCCATCATGAAGTTAAGTAATGTGATGCCTCTGGTTTTATTTTTCTTAGAATGACTTTGGCTCTTTTTGGGTTCCATATGAATATTAGAACAGTTTTTCTAATTCTGTGAAAAATTGCATTGGTAATTTGATAGAAATAATGCTGAATCTATAGTATGGACATTTTAACAATATTGATTCTTTCAACACACCAGCATGGAATGTTTTTCCATTGGTCTGTGTCATCTATGATTTCTTTGAGTAGTGTTTTGTAGTTCTCCTTGTAGAGATTTTTCACCTCCTTGGTTAGATGTATTCCTAAGTATTTTAATTTGTTGGGGGGTGGTGCTATTTTGAATGGGATTTCACTCTTGATTTGGCTCTCAGCTTAAAAACTATTGGTATATAGAAATGCTACTGATTTGTGTATGCTGATTTTGTATCCTGAAGCTTTGCTGAAGTCATTTACCAGGTCTAGGAGTTTTTTGGTAAAGTCTTTAAACTATTCCACAAGGCTACAGTAACCAAAACAGCATGGTACTGGTACAAAAAGAGACACATAGACCAATGAGACAGTATAGAGAACCCAGAAATAAGGTCACACGCTTACAACCAACTGATCTTTGACAAAGTCAACAGAAACAAGTAATGGGGAAAAGACTCCATATTCAACAAATGGTGCAGGGAAAACTGCCTAATAATATGCAGAAGAATGAAACTGGACACTTAGCCCATATACAAAAATTAACTCAGGGGGATTAAAGACTTAATTGTAAGACCTGAAACTGTAAAAATGCTAGAATAAAACATAGAAAATACCTTTCTTTAGCATGGCCTTGGCAAAGAATTTTTGGCCAAGTCCCCAAAAGCAACTGTTACAGAAACAAAAATTGGTGAGTAGGATTTAATTAAACTAAAGAGATTTTGCACAACAACAAAAAAACATCAACACAGTAAACAGACAACCTACAGAATGAGAGAAAATATTTGCAAACTGTACATCCAACAAAGCAGCATCTATAAGCAACTTAAACAAATCAACAAGCAAAAAACAAATAACCCCATTAAAAAGTGGGCAAAGGACGTGAACAGATACTTCTCAAAAGAAGACATATAAGTGGCCAGCAAACAGATGAAAAAAAAAGTTCAACATCATTAATCACTAGAGAAATGCAAATCAAAACCACAATGAGATATCATCTCACATCAGTCAGAATGGCCAATATTAAAAGTCAAAAAATAACAGATGTTGGTGAGGTTGTAAAGAAAGGGGAAATTTTATACATTGTTGGTGGGAATGTAAATTACTCCAGCTACTATGGAGAGCAGTTTGGAGATTTCTCAGAGAACTAAGATTTGAGGTACCATTTGATCCAGCAATTTTATTACTGGGTGTATGCCCAAAGGAAAATAAGCCATTTTACTGAAAAGACACATGAGCTTATATGTTCATTGCAGTGCTATTCATAATAGCAACGACATGGAATCCAGGTGCCCGTCAACTCTGGATCGGATAAAGAAAATGTGGTACCTATACACCACGGAATACTATGCAGCCATAGAAAAGAATAAAATAATATCCCTTGCAGCAACATGGATGCAGTCGGAGGCCACCATCCTAAGTGAATTAATGCATCAACAGAAAACCAAAAGTCACGTGTTCTCTTATAAGTGGGAGCTATATTGTGGGTATATGTGAGCATAAAGATGGGAACAATAGACACTGGGGACTCCAAAAGAGGAAAAAGAGGGGAGAAGGGCTAAAAACTTCCTATCGTGCAGTATGTTCACTACATGGATGACGGGATCAATAGAAGCCCAAACCTCAGCATCATGCAATATACCCCTGTAACAAACCTGTATATGTACCCCCTGAATCTAAAGTAAAAATGTAAGCAAATAAAATAAAAAATGTAGGCCTCTTGATGAGTATACAGTGTTATCTCTTGGTTGGTTTACTTTGCAGTTTCCTGATGATTAACGATGTTGAACCACTTTTAATGTGAGCATTGATCATTTGAATACTCTTTTATTATGAAGTGCCTATCCAAACGTTTTCCCAATGTTTTAATTGAGTCTTTTTCTTACTGGCTTTTAGAAGCACTTTATATCATCTAGGCATAGGACCTTCGCTGCCATACTTAAAATATTCTCTCCTACTCTGTGATTTATGTTTTCATTATTTAAACATTGTATTTCATTGAAGATATATTCAATATTTTAGTGTAGTCTAACTTATCAATCTTTTTTATGTTTAAAGTTTCCTATATAGTGTTTTAAAAAATCTGTTCCTACACCAAGATCATTAATATAATCTGTTAGAATATATTCTAAAATTTTTATTGCTCACTTATTGCATTTAGATTTAAACTCCACAAGGAAGTTATAGTGTGTGTCTATGAGATGTGAAATAAGGCTCAAATTTCTTTTTTGAACATGAATACTCAATTAAGCCAACACTGTCATTAAAATGACTGTTCTTCCTTCACCATTCTGCAGTGTTACCTTTGTCTCCATCGAGTATGCATGCGGCTGGTTTTGTTCTTTTGTCATGTTCTGTTGGTATGTGTGTTTATATTTATGTCCCTACCATACTGTCTTGCTAATATATCTTTATAATAACTTTTAATATTTAATATTGACTTCTTTACGAAATAAGCTAAGCACAGAAAGACAAATAATGAACCAGGTGCAGTGGCTCACACCTGCAATCCAACATTTTGGGAGGCCAAGGAGGAAGGATCATTTGAGCCCAGTAGTTTGAGACCAGCTTGGGCAACATAGGGAGACCCTGTCTCTAAAAAAAAAAAAAAAGAATTTAAAAAATTAGTCAGGCATGGTGATATAGCCTGTGGTCCCAGCTACTTGGAGGGTGCTGAGGCAGAAAGATCGCTTGAACCCAGGAGTTCAAGGCTGCAGTGAGCTATGATCACGCTACTGCACTCCAGCCTGAATGACAGAGTGAGACCTTGTCTGAAAGAAGGAAGGAAGGAAGGAAGGAGGAAGACAGAAAGAAAGAAAGAAAGAAAGAAAGAAAGAAAGAAAGAAAGAAAGAAAGAAAGGAAAGAAAGAGGGAGAAAGGAAGGAAGAAAGGAAGGAAGGAGAGATGAAAGAGAAAGGAAGGAAGGAAGAAAGGAAGGAAAGAGAGATGAAAGAAAGAGAAAGAAAGAAAGAAAGAAAAGAAAAGAGAGAAAGAGAGGAAGGAAGGAAGAAGGGAGGGAGGAAGGAAGATATCACGTGATCTCACATACATATGAAATCTAAAAACCTTCTAAGAGTAGAGCTCAGAATGGTGGTTCCACGGGCTAGGGAGAAGAGGAAATGGGGAGATAATGGTCAGAGGACACAAATTTTCAGCCAGACAGGAGGAATGACTGAAAGAGCTCTATTGTACAACATGGTGACTGTACTTAACAACAATGTATTGTATACTTAAAAATCACTAAGGGAGTAAATATTAAAAGTTCTCATCACAAGACAATAATAAGTATGTGAGGTGGCGCATATATTAATTAGCTCCATTTAAACATTCTACATTGTACACATATATCAAAACATCATTTTGTATACCTTTAACATACAATTTTTTTGTCAATTAAAATTAAATATAGGCCAGGCATGGTAGCTCACGCCTGTAATCCCAGCACTTTGGGAGGCCAAGGCAGGTGGATCACCTGAGGCTGGGAGTTCAAGACCAGCCTGACCAATATGGAGAAACCTCGTCTCTACTAAAAATTAGCCAGGCGTGGTGGCACATACCTGTAATCCCAGCTACTCGGGAGGCTGAAGGAGGAGAATCACTTGAAGCAGGAGGCAGAGGTTGTGGTGAGCTAAGATTGCACCATTGCCCAGCCTGGGCAACAAGAGTGAAACTCCGTCTCAAAAAAAAAAAAAAAAAAAAAAAAAAAAAGTAAATATAGTTCATGTCCTTTGCAGGGACATGGATGAAGCTAGAAGCCATCATTCTCAGCAAACTAACACAGGAACAGAAAACCAAACACTGCATGTTCTCACTCATAAGTGGGAGTTAAACAATGAGAACACATGGACACAGGGAGGGGAACATCACACACTGGGGCCTGTAGGGAAGTGGGGGGCAAGGGGAGGGAGAGCATTAGGACAAATACCTAATGTATGCGGCGCTTAAAACCTAGATGACAGGTTGATAGGCACAGCAAACCACCATGACACTTCTATACCTATGTAACAAACCTGCACATTCTGCACGTGTATCCCAGAACTTGAAGTAAAATTTAAAAATATATATGTATAAATTAACCAATTTTAAAAATAAATACATACATACATAGAAAAAATATGACTTGTTTAATCATGGCCACTTAATTTGCCATGTAAGTCTTAAAATAAGAGTTTTGTGACTTCTTTCTTTTATGTAATAAACTTTTTACTTTTGGAATAATTTTAGATCTACAGAAAAGCTGCAAAAAAAGTAAAGAGAGTTATCTTATCCAGCTTCCCTTAAAGTTAACATGTTACACAACCATGCTACGTTTGCCAAAACTAAGAAACCAATATTAAATTCTGAATTTTCATTAACAGTAATGTATTTGCATTCCACTAAGTTTTTACACCAACGTTCTTTTTCTGTTCCCAGTATCCAGTTCAGGATACTATCTGGCACTTAATCATTACGTTTCCTTGGGTTCCTCTGGCCCGTGGCCAACTCTTAGCCTCTCCTTGTTACTGTGTATCGACAGTTTGAAGATTACTGGTCAGGTCCTTAGAATGCTCTTTAATTTGTGTTTGTCTGATTATTTTTTTCCTGATTAGGCTGGAATTATGAGCTTTTGGAAAAAATTCTGCAGAGGTTAAGCTTCCTTCTCATCACTTCATATCAAGGGGATGTGATATCAACATGCCTCATTACTGGTGATGTTCACCTTGATCATGTGGTCAAGGAGGCGTTTGCTAGGTTTCTCTACCACACAGATACTCTTTCCCGGCTTTCAATACTCTAGTCTTGCATGTGAATCACTAAGTCCAGGCCAGGCACAAGGTGGCCTGGGAGGTAGACACTAAGGTCCAATTCCTGGAAGAGACAGTATCTATTCATATTATCTGGAATTCTTCTACAAAGAGTTGTCCTTCTTCTTTCTTTTGTATTTACTTGTTCATTTAATCATTTATTTATATCAGTGTAACCTCATGTATATTGATTTTATACTTTGGGTTGTAAGCCAATACCATGTTATTTATTTTATATCAGGGTCACTTCTATATCTCTCTGATATGCCCCATCCTTTTTGCTTTTTTGAGCATTTTCATTATTCTGGCACTTGAAAATGATACACGCTTTTCTGGCTATCTCTTGCCTCAGTGCACAGACTAGCACCTCCAGTATCATGTTGAATAACAATGGTAAGAGCAGACATCCTGTTGTTTTAATTTCTAATCTCTGAGAATGCTCTTACAACATTTTTTCATTCAATATAAAAACACCTTTCTCACATTTAGAAAGTGTATTCCTATTTCTAATATAGTGATAGTTTCTTTTTTAACAATCATAACTAGACAGTTCAATTTTTTAAAATGTTTTTTTCATGGAGAATTATGTTGATTGATTTTCATATGTTAAACTAATCTTGTATCCCTGGCCCCCAACATGACCATGATGTATTTTCCTTTATGTATATGTCACTAGACTCAGTTTGCTAATGTTTTTATTTGGATTTATTTTGTAGTTTTATGTTTTGAGACACAGTCTCACTTTGTTGCCAAGGCTGGAGTGCAGTGGTGCAATCTTGGCTCACTGCAACCTCTGCCTCCCAGGTTGAAGGGGTCCTCCTGCCTCACCCTCCCAAGTAGCTGGGATTACAGGCACCCGCCACCACGCCTGGCTAATTTTTTTGTATTTTTAGTAGACATGGGGTTTCACCATGTTGGCCAGGCTGGTCTCGAACTCCTGGACTCAAGTGATCCGCCTGCCTTGGCCTCCCAAAGTGCTGGGATTACCGGCATGAGCCACTGCGCCTGGCTTGGATTTATTTTTAAGTCATATTCAAGAGAGAAATTGTCTTTCAAGAGTTTAGAGTAACTTATTAAGAATTCAAGAGCAATTTTATTTTTTCCGATACTCTTATTTTGGTTTTGGTTGTGACCAAGATTATCTTTCCCTCATTGGAAAGTATTTTCTCTTCTTCTATTCTCTAGAATGATTTGTGTAATATGACTTCTTATTTCTTCCTCAAATGTTTGGTGGTAAAAATCATCAGTAAATCCTTTGGGACTTGGCATTTCTTGATGACAAATTGTTTAATTACAGATTCAATTTTATAATTATAGGGTTGTGAAGACTTTATATTTTTGAATGCACTTTAATAAATCATATGCTTGGAGGAAGTTGTCTGTTTTTCAGCAATTTTTGTATAAAGATTTTCATAGTATAAAGATAATTTTGTATAAAGATTTTCATAGATTTACTAGTTATTTTTTAATACCTGTATGATCTGTGGCCATATCTCTGTTTCAGTCCTAAAATTTGTTATTTGTGTCTTAATTACCTTAGAATTCATTATAAATTATTTTCATATAATTTATATTTATAATAATTATTTTTATACTTATATTTATGTTAAATATATAAATTATGTAAACTATAAGTAACTGTATAAATCATCATGTATGATTTCGTGTGTGTGTGTGTGTAATGAGTGAGACAGAGAGTGAGAATAATATAATCAACCACCATTAACCTATCACCCAGCTTCAAAAATTATCAACTCAGGGCCAAGTGTTTTATTAAAAACCCCATAAATTCTCTAATATGAACAGAGATGTAAAATTATGTTAAATACATTACAGAGATCTTTTCAAATGTTTATTGGGCATTCAGTTCATTCAATCAAGAATTGTCTTTTTCTTTTTTTTTTTTTTTAATTTTGAGACAGTCTTGCTTTGTCGCCCAGGCTGGAGCGTAGTGGCAAGATCACAGTTTACTGCAACCTCCGCCTCCCAGGTTCAAGCGATTCTTGTGCATTAGCCTCCCAAGTAGCAGGGACTATAGGTGTGTGCCACCACACCTGGCTAAATTTTGTATTTTTACTAGAGGCGGGGTTTCACCATGTTGGCCAGGCTGATCTCGAACTCCTGACCTCAACTGATCCACCTGTCTCAGCCTCCCAAAGTGCTGGGATTACAGGTGTGAGCCACCGCGCCCGGCTGAAAATTGTCTTTTTCTATTGGGTCATTTTTCTATTCTATACTGATTTTTACATAACCCATTGGGTTCAAAATTATTCTTTTTATGAACAGCCAATCTAAAATAGCATCTCCCATCTCTCACGAAGCTCTATTCTCCCACCTGCTTTAGTTCTCTCCTTGGTACTTTCTGAAATCTGAGGTTTATCAACATATGTAATGACGTATTTATTAGTGTCTGCCTCTCCTATGAGGGGAGGATATTAGTTTTGTTTTCTACAGTTACCCTGGTGACTAGAACAGGGCCTGGCACATAGACATTCAATAAGGATTTGTTTGAATGGATTAATTAACTTGATTGATGTATAATCTGAATATACTAAGCCCCTGTCAGCTATATCACATGGTTAGAGATACATGATACCTAATCCTTGCTGGCTTATGGTGTCTTTTTGCATACAGGTATGTTTAACTTTAATGTTGTCAAATTATTATAATACCTATTTTCTTATGATTGTCTACATTAGTAAATCTGTCCCCATCCTGAGAACAAGAACATGATCCTCATTCTTCCAAAGACATGCTTAATTTCGCTGCTCACTATTAGGTTTTAATCTATCTGAAACATTTTTATAAACGGTGTCTGATAAAAATCTACATTTTTCCTGAATAAACAGTGTTTGGATCACTTTATCCCATAATTTACCTCTTACTTGCTGATCTGCAATGCATTTCTTTGCACTTAAGGTTTGATTCTCTTTTGCCTATTGGCTATGTCTATGTACTGCCACGTTCTTTAATTTTCACAGATTCCTAGTAGGTTTGATAGTTTTAGTTGGTGAGTGCCCACCCACTTTGGTTCCAGTGCACGATTTGCTAGAAAGACTCACAGGACACAGACAGCTGTTAGACTCACAGCTATTGTTAATTACAGTGAAAGGATATAGATTAGAAGCAGCAAGGAAAAAGGTGCACACAGCAGAGTCCAGCACTAAGGAGGAGGCATGGGCTTCCAGTTGTGCTCCACATGACTGACCTCAACCACTCAGTCTCCAGTCAGCTGTCTGCCACCCCCAGAGGTCAAAGTGACACAATGTGACCCAAGGCCCAGGCATACATAAACAGGTGTTCACTATAAAGCATGTTGATAGCATGTGGTGTGACCCAAAGCTTCAGGTTTACAAAGTCACTCAAATCACACAGAATATTACAAAGGCTCAGAGGTTATCTCCAGGAGCCTGTCAGGGACTGTCCTGAAGCCCTTCGGAATATGCAGGGTTTGGGCAGCCCAGGCCTGCTGAGTTAACACTTTACTGCACAGTTCTTCTTTTCCAAAATTTTTTTTTTCTTGGCCCTATACACTTTCATATAAATTTTATATTTAACTTTTTTCAATGAAATACCCTGCTGGTATTTATATTTGAATTGCATTTAATTATTAAATATCTTCATAATATTTAGGCCTCTGATACAAAAACTTTGCCTATCTACTCATTCATTTTTAGTTTATTTTCTGTGTTGAAAGACAATGCTACATTTACTTCTGCATAAATGTTTTGCATATCTATGTTAGATTTAATTTTAGGTATATTGCTTTCTGTGAGTAAAGTATATACTTTATTTTTTTAAATTCAGGATATTTGCATCTCTCTCCATAAACGAGCTTGGACTATAATGCTTTATTCTCACATATTTTTATATATTTATTTCTGTTTCTTTTTCTATTCTCTAGTACAGATGATATAAGACTAGAAGTATCTGTACCTTGAATAGAATTTATTAGCAACACATCTTTGGTACTTTGTCAAAGTTAATTTTCAAGAGTTGATGTAATTCATTTAATTCATGTAGGACCATTAAAGTTTTCTATCTCCTGTAATTACTTCAGCTGGTATAAATTTTTCTAGGAAACAGGCAACTGTAATTTGCCATACTGTAGGTTGTCTAGTGGACCTGTAACTTCTGCCTGGCTCTCCCTGGCTCTTACATCTCTTCATTTCTGGAAGAAGTCAGCCACCACCCTGAGAGGACACTCAAGCAGCCCTGGGGCAGGAGGTTGTGTGGGAAGGAATGGACTTCTCAGAACCTACTTCCCAGAAATGTGAGTTAGCTGCCTTGGAAGTAGGTTCTCCAGTTCAAGTCTTTTTTTTTTTTTTTTTTTTTTTGCCGATGCTGTCGTTCATTGCGCGGAATGGGGGTGTGGGGGTTAATTGGGCGTAGGGGCCACGGTGGGGGCACTGCTGCCTCAGCTGGTCAGTACATTCATCACGGTGGCGGGACCCCAGCCTCGCCCCCGCGCCCGGCGCAACCAGGCCCGCCCCTCGGTGCCAGTGCTGGAGGGAGCTGGGGTGCTGCTCCCCAAGGTCACCGCGGGACGCGCGTGGACCGGGGCCGGGTCGGTTATTGCATGAGCGCGATGGGGGCAGCGGGAAGCCGGTGGGCCAAGTATTGCACTTAAAAAACGATCCTCATCGGACGGCGGGCCACCTAGAGGGCGGGGGGCGGGCGGGGCTCCACAGCCGGCTCCTCTCAGCCACTGGGCCGCCCCGTCCCTGTTTTACAGCTAGGGGAACTGAGGCACTGAGGTGAAGGGAGCCCCCTCGCACGCGAGGCCGCCGCCGGGGGCAGGGGCGATGGGAGTGGGCGCAGGGCGATAAGGGGGGACGGCCGGGGACGCGGAGGGGGCTGCCCCGCCGGCCCTGCCCGTCAGTCCAACTACGGCTACCTATGTCTTGTCTGTGGTTTCTGGGCGGGCTGGCGGCCGGGGCAGCGCAATGGCATGGCTTTGGTCTGGATGACGGCCCCGCCTCCGGCCCTCCTGGGCCCGCAGGGCGGTTGGCGAGGGTCACAAGTTGGACGAGAGGCGCGAGCGCGCGGAGTCCTGGGGGTCCAGGCCGCTGGCGGCGCCGGGTGAGGCGGAGTCCCTGCGATCCGGGCTGGGCGCGGCGGCCCGGGCAGCGGGCGTGGGTCCCAGAAGCGGTGTGGAGCTGCTGGCCGGGCGTGTGGAGGCCGCTGGGACGGGCGTTCCGTGGGGCAGCGAGGGCTGCGAGGCGGACAGTGGGCGCAACGCGCGGCTCAGGCGGCGCGAGGGCAGGGCGGTCCCAGCAAGGGGGGCGGCGGGCAAGCTGCCGTAGGGCGAGGTCCGCGGTGCCCGGGGGCTGGCGGGCGCGCCCAGGGGGCTGGCGGGGGGCGGGGGCCCGGGTGAGGCGGCGGCAGGTGCGGGCCCCGGGGGCGGGCGGCGCACGAGGCGCGGCGAGCCGAGCGCCAGCGGCCCCACGAGCGGCCGCGCCACCTGCGGGCAGAAGCTCATGACCACGGCCTGCTGCAGCGTGGCGATGGCCGAGGTGACCTGCGGCGGCGGCGGCGGCGGGAAGAGGCCCAGGCGCCGACCCAGCTCGGCCTGCTGCACCATCTCGCCGTCGTACTTGACGATCTCCTGGATGATGGCGTTCTACTGGTTGTTGAATACGCCCGAGTTAAGGTCATGCTGCACCTTGTGCAGGAGGATGGAATTCTTCTTGCCGATGCGGTCCAGGCGGTCGATGGCCACCGTCTCGAAGGCGCGCCGCATCATGGGGTACTCCTCCAGCACCTCGTTGAAGTTGTCCACGCTCAGCGAAAGGAGGCGGCAATAGGTGTTGGCCCGCACGCTCGCCATGCGGTGGCCCCGGGTGAGCAGGCAGATCTCTCCGAAGTAGGAGCCATCGAACAGCTTCATCTCCTTGTTGCCCTTAGCGAGCACGCTGACCACGCCGTGCTGGATGAAGTACATCTTCCCGATGGTGCCTTCGCGGATGAGGTAGTCACCCGGCTGGAAGACCTCGAACTTGAGCTTGGTCAGCATGGCCGTGACGAAGTTGGGGTCAGCATTGGCGAACAGCGGCATGGAGGTCACCAGCTTCCGGCAGTTGAAGTTGACAATCTCCTCCCGCAGGGGCCCGTTGAGCTCGCCCAGGATGCTGTCCTCGTCGAACATCTTGCCCTGGTAACAGTGCTCGTAGTAGTCGTGGATCTTCTGGCGGAAGTCGGCCGGCAGCTTGTGGAAGGACATGTACTGCTCCACCTGCTTGTACTTCTGGTATTGGCGCCGCGAGGAGTCCAGCGACTGGATGAGGGCAGTGGCGTGGCCGATGAACATGGCGTAGCAGGTGGCACTCACAATCATGCTGAGCATGGTCAGCCAGATGTCCGTCATGCTCTCGGGCGCCTGCCGGCCATACCCAATGCACAGCATGTGGCTCATGGCCTTGAAGAGTGCGAAGGAATACAGTTCGCTCCACCAGTGGTTCACCATGCCATTGATGGACACCCAGCAGTTGCACGGGAAGTCCTGCAGCATGGCCACCAGGAACTGCAGGCAGCCATCCCAGTGGCAGAGCAGCAGCATCATACTGATGAGGTTGCAGAACCGCATCACCGCGCTGGCCAGGTCATAGGTCATGTGGAAGATCTCCTCCCACTGGTGGATGTAGCGGATCAGGCGCGAGAGGCGCAGCAGCCGCAGGAGGCTGAGGATCTTGGTGAAGCGCACGATCCGCAGGGCGCACGCCGTCTTGTAGACCTCGGAGTCGATGCCCTTCTCCACGATGAGGAAGATGTAGTCCACGGGGATGGAGGACACGAAGTCCACCATGAACCACGTGCGCACGTACTTCTTGATCTTCTCTTGGTCCAGGATGATCTCCGTGTTGTCCTCGATCACAATGCCGGTGCGGAAGTTCAACACCAGGTCCATGAGGCAGAAGGTGTCCGAGACCACGTTGAACACGATCCACAGGGCAGTGGTCTCGTCCTTGAAGAAGGTGATGCCCACTGGGATGATGATGAGGTTTCCCACCATGAACAGCAGCATGGTGAAGTCCCAGTAGAACCTGAAGTCGCTGTACGGGTGGATGATCCAGGACCCCGCTGACTGGACGCGCTCCTGCTCGCGCTCCACGGCCTTCTGGCTGCCGAACATCCGCAGCGAGAACTTGTTGACGCCCAGCTGCAGGAGCGCGCCGAAGTGGCGCTGCATGAAGCTGGCCCGGCTGCGGCGCGGCTCCGCCGCCGGGCCGCCACCTCGCTGCCGGCCTCCTCCGCCGGCCCCTGCCCCGGCCCCGGCGCGGGCCCCGAGGCCGCCCCGGGGCACAAGAACTACACCTTGGGCCCCCGCGCCGGGCCCTCGGGCCCCGCGGGGCTGCATTGCGGCTAGCCGCGCCCGCACTCGGCCGTTCCGGCTGCCCTTGGCCGTGCTCGCCGTGCCCGGGATGCCGGGGCTGCCGCACTAGCTGTCGCGGCTGCGGCGCTGGCCCCGCGGGCCGCCCTCCTCCGCCGCCTCCGGGGGCAACGCCTCGGCCCGGGGCGGCTGCTGTTGGGGGGGCGCGGCGGCGGCGGGGCTCTCCCCGGGCCGCCCGCCGCCCCCGCGCGCGTCCATGGCGAGGCGGCGCCCGGCAGTGCGGAGCGGAGCCGCCGACCAGTTCAAGTCTTTACATGGCCGTTACCCCAGACATCTGCCTGAAGCCTCCTGAGAGCTCCCAAACCAGAAATATATATTTGAGCTGCTCCTAAGTACATGACCCACCCACAAATGAGAGATCATCAAAGATTATTGTTTTTGAAATCACTAAGTAGGGGGGCGACCTGTTATGCAACAATATATTACTAATACAAATGTTTTCTTATGATTACAAATAAAAATTGTTATTTGACTGACTTATGAGGATTTTAAAATATTAACATACAATCTTTTTTGTTATTTTTTATTTTGATTTCTAATTGCATTGCCTTACGACTGAAGAACAATTGGATAACGTCTGCATATCTTTATTGAAAATTTTCTTGTATTTATGGCACATAGCCCATTTTTATAAATGTTCCATGAGTGAATGAGAATATGTACTTTCTAATTATTTGTTGCAGTTAAATATTGACACACTTGACAAATATGTGATCACTTTACTTACCAATTTCTTCATGAAGTTCTGACTGTGCATAGTTGATATTATGTTCTTAGGTTTAGACAAAAACTGTTGTCTATTTCTGAGGAGTTGAATACTTGACCCTCATGTACTGAATGTATTTATTCCTAATGATACATTTTACTGTATGGTTTATTTTTCTGGATGGTAATAATACCATGGTGGCTTTCTTCTGATTAGAAAATGTCTGCTATATATTTTCCTTCCTTTTATATTAATATGTCTATTTCCCTATACTATACACATGTTTACTCTCAACATTTTTCTGTTATAAAATATTTCAATACGAATATCTATGTCTTTTTATTGGCATGTATTCATCTCGTCTCCATCCCATTTGTGGAGGAGAGATTCCCACACTGGGGTTATGGAAATGACTGGACACATGACACCCAACACTAGACAGTTGAGTTCACACCAGCTTATTAGTCACAGGCACACACAGCCCAGGGGAGGATGGAACCACATGATGTGGGGCCACATGAGGGCTGCGCTTGGAAACAGAGTGAACAAGCAGGAGCTGAGGGAGTCAGGCTTTGTAGTAACAAGAGGGTGGAGTGACACTTGCTTCCGGGCTCTGCCACCCATGATAAGGAAGGTTGTCTAGTGGACCTGCCACTGGAGCAGGGTGGGTAGGGGTATTATAGTTAGGCTATTCAAGGTCCTCCAGATTCTACGTATAAAGTGGCAGATAATGTTAATTTTGTGCCTTAGAAGAAACATCTTTTGATCGTTTATATTTATTATTTTACCAATACATTTAGATGTATTCCATTCTTTTTATTATATGCTATGTATTATGCTCATTTTTCTGTTTTTGCTTTTTAGTATCTTGCTGGAGAGCTATACATTTTATTTCCCTATTTTTGAAGATTCCCTTTCATATTTTAATACATATAGTTAACTATACAGTTTTAATTCCACCAGTTAACCAGGATAATTCAAAGACCTTAGGATTCATGAATTCTAATCAGCTCCCTTTCAAGTTCCATTATTTAAAATCTGGTATTTTAGCTTCACCTGGTTTTTTAAATCTGAAATTAATTATGCTGTAGTTACGAGAACTGCCATCATTTTCTATCTTTATCCTGCTAGATGGGTCAACTGGAATCCTAGGTGGAGGGCCTGCCCTTCACAGCTGCCTTGTGTTTGCTTCTGCTAGAACCCTGTGGTGACACAGTGATGGCCACCCTGATATCCCTTCAGGAGTAAAGGGCTTATTGCCCCGAGACTGACAGTGCTGCCAGCAGAAGCCCTGGACAGACAGTCCTTTCAGGAGTAAGGACTTACTGCCTGCCCCATCTGACAGTGCAGTCAGGTGCCAGCCCTTCCGACATGGCCCCACCACCCAAGGTCATGGCCCCCTCCCAGAGCATCCCGAGACTGATTCACTTGGAGCACTAAGGGCCTCGCCTCTCGCCCTACTCCAGATAATTCTTAAGAGCCACGTAATCTTTAGAACTCCCTGCAAGGCTGGCTGAGTCTTGCCCTCTTCCTCGGCCCAGTCCCAGTCCTGCTTTCTACTCCTCACTTCCAGGTGGAGATTCCAAGAGCATTCCCTCATCCCTCTCCTGCATGTCAGTCTCTGTCTCAGAGCTTGCTTCCCACAACAATGTCACAGTGGTATTACCATCCAGGAAACAATTCCTATCAGTGTCTTACTTTGTCCACTCCCAAGCCACAAGGAGAGCATGAATTCACACGTGAATACACTGGAGGCATCAGCCTTTGCCTATAAATTCTTAGGGGAGACTTTACCACCTAGAACCTGCGATCAGTCAAACAGGCTCTCTGTTGTTTCTCTGAACCCACAGGAGGTTGAATGTTTTTCTAGTCTCTGGCTTACTGGGAGGGAGGGGCAGTGTCAGCATATAGGACAGGCTTACTGTGGATCTAGGTCTAATTTCTACCTGATGCAGCCCAGAGCACCACCTCCTACTATAAAACAAAGATGTCAGTGAGGTCCACTCATGTGCTTTACAGTTCTGGTTTGCAGATTCGTCTTAAAATGTGGTCTTGGGACTTTGTTGGAATTTCAGCTCTCCATTTGAAACTGTTTGCTACAGTATCCAGTACTTCTGAATGTTCTGCACTAGGGAGATACTCAATTATCTGCTCTGCCCTATTGCTGGGAATGAACATCTTCTCATTATAAATGATGTAAGCATTGTTTATGCATTTTTTATGAGCTTGATTTGTGAGATTCGTCCTTTCAGAGACCTATTCTTGTAGGAACTGGTATAATGAGGTTTCTAAATCTAAAATGCATAGAATCTCAGGCTCTGCTGCTGTGGAAACTCCTCCAGGTACAGACACAATTGTACAGACAGTGCAGCGCAGCTAATATCCTCATCTCAAAGAGATCCGTTTAGTTGAACGCATTATCTACCAAAGAAATCAGGCCCTTGCGTTCATTTGATAAAGGAAGTCCCACTGGATTGCATATTTCCATCTTTTTCTTCTAAACTCTATGACTCCAGAACCGGGCTCAGGGCCTGGAAATCATAAGGGCTTAACATAGTTATTTTGATGAATTTTTTAAGAAGTGATTTTCCTCATTCTGTACTTTCTTCCAAAGAGTGAAAAAGAAATCGATTTTGCTGAGTTTTTGGAATAAATCAAATATGTTAGATATGGTTTTTCTACCTTATAGAGGAGTAACAGTACCATGGTTTCTGAAAACTTGAAACAGCACAGAAGTGGCTGCTCTCAGCCTAGACAGGAGTTCTCCTGAATATTATCTGTGAGTAATGACCTTCAAGTTCATATGAATAGCACTTTTCAAATGGGCCCTAAAACATTCTTCTTTAACTTTAAAAAGACTTGGAAGTAATATTTCTCTGAATTACTGCACTGCACAATGAATGTCTTTCTTTGCCAGTGAAGGGTGTCTCTGGACTAAATAATTTTGTTTTGCACCAAAAATAAATGTATTCTACTAAGGAATTATATTGGAGTACATGTAAATGCCTAGCTTAAAAAGAAATGGCTCACATTAAGGTAAAAGCTCATAGTTTAAAAATTAGACTTCCACCTTCTTGTAAGGAGTAATGCCGCATCCTTTCCAACTGTCCTTTGATGAAGAAGATTAGCAGATGAATGGATACAACTCTTCCAGCTGAAAGAATCCTTAGAGGTCATTAAAGGGAACTCCCTACCTAATATGAGTATTGACATTACAATAGATAACAAAGAATGGGCTTGGGAGGAATCAGACATGGATTGTTTGAAACCAGAGCCATCCCTTCTTGCCTTTCTCTGTGCTCGGCTCAAGATTACCATCAGTAATTTCCTCTTTCCTTTCTTCCATCAAGACAAACCTGATCTGTCCTGTGCTACACTTTCTCAGTTCTTATCAGGTGACAGAGTGCTTCATGCTAAGTTGCTAATAGTTTTTCGGTTTTTTTTTTTTTTTTAGATGGAGTTTCACTCGTCTCCCAGGCTGGAGTGCAACAGCACAACCTTGATTCACCGCAACCTCCGCCTCCTGGGTTCAAATGATTATCCTGCCTCAGCCTCCCGAGTAGCTGGGATTACAGGTGCACACTACCATGACCAGCTAATTTTTATATTTTTTAGTACAGCCAGGGTTTCGCCATGTTGGCCAGGCTGGTTTTGAACTCCTGACCTCAGGTGATTCACCTGCTTCAGCCTCCCAGAGTGCTGGGATTACAGGCGTGAGCCACTGTGCCCAGCCAGTTGTTAATAGTTAATAATACCTTGATCTCATACCACTTTCCTGCAGAATGTTCAAGTGAAACATTAACTTTATTTCTAATTTAAAATAGAGATCTTTGGGGCTTATGTAGGCTATTATATAGGGCTGAATCAGATAATTTGGTTTGATGCTCTTTTTAATGCTCCCAAAGTCAGAATGCCTGTACTCTACCTGTGAGGCTAGTCCTGACGTGGCCTCCAGATGGACTACTCCAGAAAGGTTTTCCTTCATATCATTTGCCAGTTATCTGAATCCCTCTGTCTTGGGATGAAGATTGAGCACACACTCAATGCATTAAACACAAATGACCTAAGTGAGCATTTAAAAGCTGATCTTGGCAACTTTGGTAATGCTGGGAGTAATGTCAATTATTTTTAAATTATAAAATTATAAAATTACTCTGAATGTACCACACTGACTTGCTTTTCACTACAACATTCTAGAAAGCAGCGTGGATCAAGGCTTTTTCTTTTGCAGAATCTATCAAATTTCAGGAGGGAGAGACATGAAGGACCCGAGCACAGACTGGGGTAGACGGTGTCTCTGATGGGTCCTGGTGATTCCTGCCTCCTGGTAGGCAAGCCCTCCCCTGAGTTTCAGCTGGACTTAGTGACTCACTTCTAACATACAGAACACAGCAGATGTCACTTCTGAGATTAAGTTACAAAAAGGCAGTGTCTTTTGCCTTGAGCACTCTCTCTTGCTCTCTGCTCAGTCTGAGGGAAACCAGCTGCTATGCTGTGAGCTTCCTAATGGAGAGACCCACAGAGTCAAGAACTGAGGTGGCCTCAGCTAATAACCAGCAAGGAGCTGAGCCCTCTGTCCAATAACCTGAAAGGGGCTGAATCCTGCCAACTCTACAAGAGTTAAGTTTGAGTGGCTCCTTGCTCAATTAAACCTTTAGACAAGATTACAGTCTGAGCTGACAGCTGGATGGTGACCTTGTGAGAGATTCAGAGCTGAAGATGCATCCAAGCCATATCCAGTTTCCTGGCACACAGAAACTGTGAACTAATGGTGGTTTTAAGCCTGTATGTTTGGGGATGATTTGTTGTGCAACAATTGATACCTAATACACAAGGTAAAACATATAGAACTATTCTGATTTAATCTTTTCTTCTGGAACTAACAGCAAGAGGAAACCAGTTCTGGTTAATAAAAAAGTTAAGAACTGATGTGGCCAGTTAGCAATTTTTTTGTATTTCTTTAAAATATTGCATGTCTTAAGTATTGTATGTGCTTATCTCAATATAAGGCAAAATACGTTTACAATTGTGTTTTAGAATTCAGGCTTCACAGCCAACACCCAGGCACCATGGTCAATGATTGCTTTGGACTCTAAATGAAAAACGATTGAATGTTAAGCTTGCAAATGCAGCATTATAAGATATCAATTGTGGCAGGCATCAGAATTCTCCTGTCTCTAACTTAAAATTGGGGGCTCAGCATAGCTCCTCCCCCATTTTTTATACTCTTAATCAGATACAGTCATCAATACTTTTCTAAACAATTATTTGAATTTGCTCTGCTTAGCAATACCTATTACTAGACCCTCATCACTTGAACTCAAGTAAAAAAAAAAAAAAGGGAGAGAAAGATATCTTATGAGCACCTGTCAAGTACGAGGTCCTACACCTGATATTTATAGAGGCAAAGATGGAGTGGTCTAGTGTCTATGCTCAGATAAGTGGCTGCAAATTAGGGATAAGTAAACACTACACAATGCATCTAATATGAGGCAGAAGATGTCCAATGCCACAGAGACATACCAAAAAAGTGACATGAGGTTTCAAACCAGAGAGACTTCAGAGCTAATCGAGAAGATCAGAGAGGATATGTGAAGGGTCTCATGCCCAGCAGCTTGGTGCCTTGTCAGCTCCACGCAGGGATGGATTACTCGCAGTCACATGAGAAAGTGGCCCAGCTTCTCAGGGAGCATCTCTTCTGAGGCCATGTCTTCTTTTCTGTTGACACCCATCACAGTGAGTTGGTCTCAGGTCCATCTTTGACCTGCCTGCCCGAACTCCTCATTGGATATGAGGTTCTGTTTCCCCAGTACTCTGGGACCTGGTCCCATTTCATTCCCCACATACAGTGTTGTGCTTGGTCATGGAGGGAACAGGTAGGCCACACTTCCCAAGCCAGCCCCATCTGGTTTCCCAGTCCTGAGTTCTCTGCTTACTTTGGAAGGCAGCTCAGACAGAGTTGACATTTGTGATGAGGAATGGGGTAGATGGCAGTGTAGAGGGAGATGCTCAACCACCTTGGAGTGAAAAACACCAGGCACACAGCTTAAAGCTGGAGGTATGTAAATACTGTACCCTCTTCTTTGTGTTCAATCTAGGAAGCTTCCAGGATCAAATATCATGGTTTACAGAACTGTCCTTGCAATTGAAGGTTTTATGTAATGGATAGTGTTTGTTTCTAGGAGAAGGTCTAAAGGAATTTGCCTCTATGGCTGGTTTTATCCTCTGTAATTTAGGGGACACAAAAGGGGTACTTAAAAATGCATGCTTTCAGTAGATTTTATTTAAAATAATCTACATAACTTTGGTATGCTGGGAGGCAAACAGGGGGTCTAACTGCACTTTATAAAGTATGGGATGGCAAAAGATGAAAAAAATACCAGCAGTTTTCCTCTTGGACTCTAATTGAATTCACTCTTTTGCAATATAGGTCATTATAGTAACAGCAGGGGCTGTGGAATTATGAGAGTGGAGAAGATATTATAATTTTGAGATCCTTAAATTCATGGTGAATAGAGTTTTCTTTCAGTCATATTTGGTGAGGAATATATTTGACACCCAAGAGAAATTTGGAATATCATTAAGTCAATACATTCTGTGAAGACCAAAATTCTTTTCTCTATTATCATGGAGTCTTAGGACAAAAAAAAATTGTGAGAAGTCAGAGGATGGAATAGATTTTGGGAGCAGTGTGAATAACGGTGCTATATTGGGAAAGAGTAGATTAGGGTGAGGATTGGAATTTAAAGATCTATTGAAGGGAAAAAAAGACATCACAGGGTTATCAGTTTAATAGAACTGATCCAAATATCAGAAAAAAAAATGATCAGACATGGTGCCCAGTATAGAATGAGTGAAAAGAGGATGATGAAGATAAGTTATTAGGAGGCTACTGTAATAGCTCAGGCCAAAAGAATGAACATGTATTACTGTGCCTGCCTTAGTCCAAAGATGAGCAATGATCTCTAAGACCATTTAGTGTGCTAAATTGAGAAGCCAGTAGGAGACAATTTTGAACCATTACTAAGTTATTTGAGCTTTCGATGAGAAAAGCATGCAATTCCCTTACTCAGGTTATGTTGGGATTTGAAATGTAGACTGAAGTATTTCTAGCTTCCCCATAATCAATTTCAATTTTGCCAAGCTTTGAGGCGATGGGAATTCAATGAGGGTCATTAATCCTGCTGAGAATAAAGCAGACACAGTCCACAGAGTTTCAGGCTGCTTTTCTGATTGTGTGTAGACTCAGCCATTGTACATAGGCCATGGTCCAGCCAGCTGCACAGGAGCTCCGTGGAGGCCCAAAGGCAAAGTGAGAAAGTAGGTATCAAAAAAATTGGGATCATGTCTTTGTTCCAGCCACTGGGTCCTCAGCCCCGTGGGGCATGGTTGTCCTTCTCCTCTGACCAAAGCACATGTGCACTGCCAGCCTCTGGTTCAGGGACCTTCTGCCCTGGTGAGCTCTCACTCTCTGGGCTACTGAGAAGCTGTCTGCAACCATCATGTACCTGTTTTTAGTTGTGACTGCTTTGCTGGATGAAATGTTCGGGCATTGATATAACCTCAGCGAACAGTAAGGCATAATTTGTTCATACCATGTCCTCCTTATTAGAACCATCAGAGAACTGTGAGATCTCAGAGTTAGATATCTATGCTTCTTTGGGTCTTAAAAACCCTTTGAATTATATGAACAGTGATATTTCCTACTTACACTAACTGCTAGGAAGTTCTGGATCTGTGTGTTCTCAGTTCTAACAAAGTGTCCAGAACCTGAGTGGATACTTTATTTTTTTCTGTACTCATTTGCCTTTTTCTGGCTTTATTTTCCTGTCCTTTTTTTTTGCCCTTTTCCCATTTCTCTGCTTTAATTTTTTTTCTGAATTTCAAGTCCTCGTTGAAAATAAAACTGGTGATACAAAATTATGTTTACAGAAAAAAGCAGCCCTTCAGCTTATTATACTTTTATTTTGATGAGCACCAAAATATCTTTTTCTTCAAATCAATACATGAGGCTTTTTTACTTAACAAGTTATTTCCTAATTTGAGACATCCGTTCTCACATATGATCATCTTTTGCAAGTTAAGTCACCTACACTTATTTATCAGCTTTGAGAAATCTCCTCCAACCACAGTATTTCCACGATGAAATGCACATTTTCATGAAACACACATCTTTTATAAATGTGCTGTGATCTGCAGCCATAAAATGGCCATCCACAGTTATTGCTTTGCTACTGAGCCCGTCTGCACCAGCACCTCCCCTGACCATCTGTTGCCCAAACCCATGCATCCTGCGAAGGCATTTGTTCACATTGCTTCCTGTCAGCCTCCAGCCTTCTCTCCTTCTGTCTAGTCACAACCTTGTCATGAGTTCTAGTGCCAGGACAACTGTAGAACTATGATCTGATTCCAGGGCCCAAAACGTCATGGTAAGCTTGAGACCCCTGATTGCCACTCTTATGGAAGCCCCATTGGCCACGCTGGCATCTTGTATTTGTGGACCACAGGGTATAGAGATTAAACCATCTCATTAGCACCCTCTTGTGAATAGAAAAGAGAACCCCAGAGACTGGAGGGAGAATCCAGCCCAGACTGAGGGATGGGCAATCCTCAACCAGCCTCCCCGCAGCTGGGATTCGAAATGTAGACTGAAGTATTTCTAGCTTCCCCATCATCAATTTCAATTTTGCCAAGCTTCGAGGCAAAAATGGACACTTTTGTCTGTCCAGACACAGACACTTCTCCATAAGCATCTTTGGCAAAAGGAACTTCAGGATCAATTTTCTTCACATATGCATGGAATTGGTTTGAAAAGAGCCACACCTGTTTACCCGCAATGCAGCTAAAAAAGAGCCACATGCAAAGAAAGAGTGGGATATAGTGAAAATACCATGGGATCTGGTATCAGTGACCCTGGAGCCTACCACGGCAGAGTCTGAGCTGGGGGTGTTGGTTTCACCATTTGAAAATATGGCTAATAAGGTGTTCCTTATTTTTTAAAAATGCAAGGGATAATGTATATAAAAGAATGATGAAATGTTTGGTTTCATATTTTATGGTGCTTATTTACATACTTATTATTCCAAACAAGAGGTTATGCTTTAAAATCTGGAGAGGTATTTCCGACCTGGTTTCTCCAAACTTATTACTTTTATGGAGAGGAGAAAATAGGAACCTATCTTATCTATTAAGATTGTAAATTAAATCAGTACTTGATACCCTCAGTAGCAGATTTAATTGCCCATATAAAAAGAGAAGGTAAGTTTTGACAATAAATGTAAATGTAAACAAGGTCATCCTGAAACATCACAGCATTCTGGCACAGTTATTACCTATATTGATTATTTTGTTTCTGTGATAGTTAATTTTATGTGTCAGATTGGCTAGGCCAACCTACTCAGCTATTTGGTCAAATACCAGTCTCGAAATTGCTACGAAGGTATTTTTTAGATGAGCTAAACCTCTAAGTCAGTAGACTTTCAGTAGGGCAGATTGCTTTCCATGTGTGTGGGGGCCTCATCTAGTCAGTAAAGGCCTTCAGAGAAAACAGACTGGAATTCCCTGGGAAAGAGGGAATTCTGCCTCCAGACCGTCTTCAGAGTCTAGATGCAACTCTTTCCGGGGTGCCCAGGCTTCTGGCCTGCCCTGCAGATTTTGGACTTGCCAGACTTTATGATTAAAGGAACAAATTATTATATAAATTATGAATATAATTCTTTATATGAATCTCTCTTTATCTCTGTCTCCTGCTCTTCTCTCTCTCTATAAATAATATATATATGCAGTTATCCATATACATATATATACACATATATACATTCTGTGAACATATATAAACACACACACACATGCACACATCTTATTGGGTCTGTTTCTCTGTAGAACCCTGACTAATACAGTTTCCCTCCTTTTCCCCAAGAACAGGAGAAACTGAACTGTGAGTGGAACAAGCCACAGGGAGACAAGAAATGCTGTCCCCTCACCTCTCTGCTCAGCGTCTTCCCAATGGTAGTAAAAATGTTTCCCTGCTCTGCAGATGAGCTGCTCAAGCTCCCTGGTGGGTGCAGGGGAGCTCCACTGCCTGTGTGTGACTGTCTCTCTCTCCTCTGTCTTTCTTTCCCTTCCCCACCCAGTTCCTGAGTGGGAGGCTGGCTCATCTTGGGGCGGGTGGACCAGGGAGATGCCCTGTGGCAATGGCCTGTGAAAAGGCAGGGGTCACACGCACATGGTGCTCTGAGCTCTGGGAGGAAAAGCACTTCCAGCAGGGGAGAGCAAGTCCAGGCCCCACTCCAGAGCTGGCCATGTCCTCTGGCTATGTTTCATAGCCCTAAGTAGTGTTCAGATTTCATTTAGATGAAAACAAACTTTTGACCTAATTGATATTTATTTAGATATTCATTTCATTTATCCACTTGATCCTTTGGATTTGGAGCCTAGCAGAGTGTCCTTTCTCTCCAAATCACCATCATCACTAACTGAGGCAGAAGCAACATGCCAGCCAAGTTGGTGGCCTCCCCACAACAATGGCTTCCTGGTGCTGCAGGTGGAAGGGAGCTGGAAGTACCAGCATTCATTCCAAATTCACACACTATCGAAAGCCCACCGGAAAATGACTTGCTCATAAATTACCCTGAATTTGTGTTTTAGATAAGATGTGAGTAAATTATAGCTATTATCTATTTTCACTGTTTCTAGTGTAAGTGAATGATAAATCCTCCTCCTCCCTTTCCTCTTCCTTCTTCTTTTCTTCCCCCCCTTTCTTTTTTCTGTTTTTGGAGACAGAGTCTCACTCTGTTGCCCAGGCTGGAGTGCAGTGGCACCATCTCAGCTCACTGCAACCTCTGCCTCCTGGGTTCAAGTGATGCTGTGCCTCAGCCTCCAGAGTAGCTGGGATTACAGGCGTGTGCCACCACGTCCAGCTAATTTTTGCATTTTTAGTAGAGACAAGGTTTCACCATGTTGGCCAGGCTGGTCTCAAACTCCTGACCTCAAGAGATCCATCCACCTTGGCCTCCCAAAATGCTGAGATTACAGGCGTGAGCCACCATTCCCGGCCTCTTCCAATGTTATAAAACATGGTATCACTCATTTAAGCTTCTAGAGCTAGTTGTCTACACACCTTCATTCATTTACTCAGCAAATAATAATTGAGGGTCTGCCACTTTATCAGATACTATTAGACCCCATAGTTTTCATCACAGGCCAAAAAACCAAGTTTCCTTGGTTTCCAACATTCTAACTGATCATGGCAGTGGCGGATACAGAAGAACCAAAAACCCCAAAATGTACCACATGAGATCATAAGTACTCTAAAAAAAAGAGGAGAAGAGAGAACAGGTAAAATAAGGTCATGTGGGAGGTGGGTGTGAAATGGTGATGAGTGTGGGCCTCCCTGAGAAAGTGACATTTAAGTCAAGACTTGCAGGAGGTAAGGGCTGTGCCCTGAGGATCCCTGGTGAAGAGCAGTCAAGGAAGAAGGAGCAGCACTCACAAAGGTCCTGAGGCTGGAGAGGAGGTGCTATAATCCACACAACTGTAAGAAGCAGGTGTGGGCCTACGCAGAGGATGGAGGGAGCTAACAGAAAGTGAAGATGAGACTGTAGCTTCAGTCTGAGGGAACATAACGAGCCACTGCTTTGATCACTGGAAAGATCTTTGCCACGACTTCAATACTCTACTCTAGGAACCAAATTTTGAGCCTACTTTGGCATTTGTAGGAAGAATGTGTATCTTTTCCTTTATTGCAACTAAGGCAGAGAATTCTCTAACTCTAGGAGAAGAGCTCATGTCCCCTGGCATTTTCCTGACCCCAAGCTGAGATGCTTGGCATGAGTTAAGAATGGAAAGAGCTGTTTCACTAAATTTGTACCAAACATTGGGTGTTGTTTTGGATCCGTGGAACAGTGGGTGACACCAGCAGGAAAAGAAGAATGTTTTTCCCACTGGAGGTTGGGACCCCAGATGAAGCAGCAGCTTTAATCGGCTTTGAATCAGCTTTGAGTAACCAGTGAGCAAATCCATGTGTCTCTGACCAGGGAGCTGTTCATGCTGCCTGGACCTCCTATATGTCTGAGTGAAAGAAGACAAAACAAAAGAAAACAAAACAAAGAAACAGAGAGAGAAGAGGAAGATAAAGTGTGAGTTCTAATGAGCTTTATTTTTCTAGGAACATGTCTTTTTCATATACATTTTCAAATGCAAGATACAAAATTGTATATAACATCGTCTTACCATTATGTAATGTTTTAGAAGACTATACTGAATTCCATGTATTATTTCTGTCATTGGTTGTGTCCTTGCCCCTTTTTCCTCAGTCAAGCTCACTGGTATTTATCAATTTCATGAGTAATAAGATTGGTATTATTCTTTCTTATATATTTAGCAAAATTTACTGGTGAAGCCTCTAGGTCTGGAGATATTGCAGAAGTAATATTTTTAATTTAAAAATGTATTTTCTAGGCCTGGCATGGTGGCTCACACCTGTAATCCGAGCACTTTCGGAGGCCAAGGAGGGTGGATCACCTGAGGTCAGGGGTTCAAGACCAGCCTGGCCAACATGATGAAACCCCGTCTCTACTAAAAATACAAAAACAAATTTGTCAGGGATGGTGGTGCATGCCTGTAATCCTAGCTACTTGGGAGGCTGAGAGGGGAGGACTGGCTGAACCTGGAAGGTGGAGGTTGCAGTGAGCCGAGATCGCGCCACTGCACACTCCAGCCTGGGCCACAAAGCGAGACTCCATCTAAAAAAAAAAAATGTATTTTCTTATTAGCCATTGGATTATTAATGTCTAATATGTCTTAGGTCAGTGTTGGTATGTTACATTCAAATTTTGAAAGGAACCACTTTTGGCCTTATTGAACCTCTCTATTACATGTTGTTTATGTTAATTAATTAATTAATTAATTAATTAATTTTTGAGACACAGTCTCGCTCTGTTGCCAGGCTGGAGTGTGGTGGGCAATCTCAGCTCAATGCAACCTCTGCCTCCTGGGTTCAAGTGATTCTCCTGCCTCAGCCTCCTGAGTAGTTGGGACTACAAGCAGATGCCACCCTTTTTTTTTTTTTTTTTTTTTTCTGAGATGGAGTCTCACTCTGTCACCCAGGCTGGAGTGTAGTGGCGCCATCTCAGCTCACTGCAACCTCTGCCTCCCAGGTTCAAGCAATTCTCTGCCTCAGCCTCCTGAGTTGCTGGGATTACAGGTGCCTACCACCACACCCAGCTAATTTTTTGTATTTTTAGTAGAAATGGGGTTTCACCATCTTGGCCAGGCTGGTCTTGGAACTCCTGACCTCATGATCCACCCGCCTCGGCTTCCCAAAGTGCTGGGACTACAGGCGCGAGCCACCACATCCAGCCCAGTGCCCAGCTAATTTTTGTATTTTTAGTAGAGACAGGGTTTCACCATGTAGGCCAGGATGGTCTCAATCTCTTGACCTTGTGATCCGCCCGCCTTGGCCTCTCAAAGTGCTGGGATTACGGGCATTTATATTTTTCAGAGTACCTGTAGGAAATACATGGAACATGCAATTTAAATTATTTGAGAATAATAAAAGGACTTTTACGCAAGTATGGGCCAGGGTGGGAAAATCACAGGGATGGATAATACAGTATCCTGAGAGGTGACGCTGGGGTTATAATTACAACCTCTGGGTCCAAAAGGGCAAGGGAAGGAGCAACTGCAGAAAGCCAGCGCCAGAGGTCTGGCAGAGAGGGAGGCCTGAGAGGAGGCAGTTGGGCTGTCCACGTGGAGAGAGAGTGGGAGGAACCAATGTTACGGCCCCACACTCTTACCTTCTTCCAGGGCACCACAGAAAGCCCAAAGATGAAGTAGCCCACAGATATGGTCAGCCTCCCAAAGGGCAGATGTGAATTGAGAAAGGTCAACTGTAAGTCTGGAGGGGCAAACAGAAAGTGCTCAGCACAGGCTCCTCTTGCTCCTCTGTCTCCATACTTTTTCCAGGTAAAAACTCTGTGTCCTCAACACAGGAAAGGCAGCTTGACCATTTGAGGTAATGCTGATTCTGTCATATGCCCATGTAAAACATATACCCAGACCAGCATTCTCTAGCATACCCAGATGGATAACCTTAAAAAGTACTTCAGACACTAAAAACACTAGAACAAAGACTAAAGGATTAATGAAGATCAAAGCAGGAAGCCCAAAGTTTGACTAAAACGAGTTCCCAAAAGAGAGAACAAAGAAAATGGAGAGGTACAAATTGCCTAAAACAATGGATAAATGTATTTCAATGTTAAAGAAAGACAAGTGTCTTCAAGAAAAGGCCCACCAAGCTAAAAATATAAAAGAAGAAGATACAAATTGACCTTCATCTAAAGATAATATCATAACAAAAATATTCTAAAAATCTTTTGAAGAGAAAACAAGAAGGGAAGCTATAAGAAATTATACAAAGCTTGTCATTTGAGAGAAAAGCCACATTTTTAGTTGGAAAGTTTTAACTGTTAAAAGTCAGCTGTCTTGAAGTTAACCCAAAACTTTCATACAAGCACAATAAAATTGAAAGGTGATTTTAAAATTCATATGGAATTGAAAATATAAAAATATGCATGAAGCAATTTTGAAAGCAATCTTGCAAATCCAGGCCTTAAGAAATAAGGACTAATTAAGTCCTTATTTAAGAAAGAAGGACTTTTTCCTACCAGATAAAATAATAAAATGTCAAAACCTACTACTGAATTCATTAATTTTCCATAAATAAGTTTATGTAAAAACCACATATTACATAAAGTGTATTACTTTGAAAATACATTCTTTCAGTCTCCCATTTCATAAAATATATGTAGGATGGCAGGTATTCAAGGGTATTGTAGAAAAGATAAGAGACACTAAATATCATTACTGCTGTATCTTGATGAAGTAGGGGGTATCATGGCTAATGCATATGGCTGTGCCGGTCACACACTGCACAGCTCTAGAAGAGGTCTATGTGATTAACACTTCCTAATGTTTTTAGTAGACAGTTTGGCCTGTAAGCTGTGATGGCCCTGAATGAGGTCATCAGCTAAAAGACGGAGAGTATATCTCAGAATCTTCAACAATAGATTTTAGGTCCTATCATTAGTGGTTTAGGAGCATCCTTACATAAAATAAGACTGATGCCTCTGGCATCTTCAATTCCTTCACAAGCTCCAAGGAGGAAAATGAGGCTAATGTGCAGAATAAGGCAGAATTAAGAGAGAAAGCAGAGTGATGTTCACGCGGTGGTGGAATAAGAGCGTTCTACCATTATCGCCTAGCAGAAGCATCAAACTTGACAATTATCTATAAGAGCACTTTTGTGGGGTCCAAGAATCCAGCAGATAAAGTTTTAGCACGCCATCAGAACAAAAATCTGAGAATAGATGCACTGAAAAAGATAAGAAAAACAGTTTCACTTTACCTGCATTACCTTTCCTCCAAGGCATCATAGCTCAATGCCAAGAGAGATCATTGCAGTCCATGATTTCTCCTGGTGGGTGGGGAGAGTGCAAGCATGGTTCATGAGTGCCCAGCTCCCCCAGCTTTGTAGGATACTGAACAAGACACCCACTTTCTCATCTTATCCAAACTACAATGGTGATTGGTATGGTTTAGTGGTTGGAAGAGAACAGTGACAGGGAAGAGAGGTGGGGATCTAATTTACTGCTCTGTGATTCCATCAGGAAGTGCATCTATAAGGCACTTGGAACACATTGTGTTTGGACCCCCTGAACTGGTGCATGGGCACTCAAAATGTTTGGCACAACTCGCTCCCAAGATTGGTTCCCTAAATGCACCTGCGTGAACAGCAAATGCAAGCACTTCATGCAGGTATCTGTATCAACTATGCAGGGTTGGAGGAAGACACACAAACTTGAGCATTTCAGTGCACCACTCTAGAAAATCAAAACAGGAAGCTCTCAGCCCTGGCCTAGCTTTGCAAGATTGAAAGAAAGTGTATAATCTTAAGCATTTCCCTCCCCCAAAATGGATAAGAAGTGTGGAGTGGGTGAATCCACAGAAAAAGTCTGAGAGAGCCTCATAATCACTAACCAATCTGGTTGGTGAAGGTATTTATAGTAAGTAAAAACTGAAGGAAGTTACTCCTTCTTCAAATGGAAAGACAGCAGCAGAAGACTTCAAGAAACATGAAAAATCAAGAAAACTTGATTTTTCCCAAAGAAATTGAGATCTACAAATTGCCTGACAAAGAATTCAAAATAACTATTTTAATGAAGCTCAGTGAGCTACAAGAAAACATAGGTAGACAACTAAATAAAACAGAAAATAGGAATCAACAAAAGAATTCCAATGAATAGATAGAAATCATGAAAAGGAAACTGAACAGAAATCCTAGAGCTGAAGAACACAGTGAATGGAATTCAAAAAATGCAATAAAAACACCAACAGACTTGATCAAGCAGAAAAAAGAATCTGTGAACTTGAAGAAAAGTCATTTGAAAATATCCAGTTAGAAAAGGAAAATTTTTTTTAAAAAGAATGAAAAGGAATGAAGAAAACCGATGAGATTAGTGGAACACCATCAAGACAGCTAACATTTGCATTATGGATGTTCTAGAAGAAGAACAAAGACAGAAAGCGGAGAAAGCTTATTTAAAAAAATTATGGCTGAAAACTTCCAAAGTCTGGGGAGAAACCTGGACATTCAGGTATACAAAGCTTGCAATCTGTAATAAGGTTCAATCCAAAGAAGGCCTCACAAGTCACATTACAGGTTGAGCATCGCTAATCTAAAAACCTGAAATCTGAAATGCTTCAAAATCTGAAACTTTTTGAGAACTAAAATGACGCTTAAAGGAAATGCTCATTGGAACATTTCAGATTTCAGATTTTCAAATTAGGGATGCTCAACTGGTAAGTATAATGCAAATATTTCAAAATCTAAAACAATCTGAAATCTGAAACACTTCGATTCTATGCACTACAGATAAGGGATCCTTCACCTGCATAACGAATTGTCAAAAATTGAAGACACAGAAATTTGAAAGCAACAAGAAAAGAGGCTTGGCACATACAAGCAAACTCTGATAAGACTATTAGCAGATTTCTCAGCAGAAGCCTTACAGCCAGAAGATAGTAGAATTATATAGATATATTCAAACTGGTAAAAGAAAGAAAGATACTGCTAACCAAGAATATTTTACCTAAAAAAGTTGTTCTTCAAAAATGGAGATCTAAAGCCTTCTAAACAAACAAAAGCTGAGGAGTTCACCACTTTAGACCTGCTTTATAAGAAATGCTAGAGAGTTCTTCAAGATAAAATGAAACAAGGCTAATTAATGACATGAAAACATATGAAAGTATAAAACTGACAAATGGAAGTTTATCAGAATACTCTAATAATATTCTAATACTCTAATAAATTCAGAATATTCTAATACTGTAATGGTGTGTAAATCACTTAAAGTTTAAAAACAAAAGTATTAACAAAACTGTAAATACAATAGTCTGTGGATACATAATATTAAAAAGATATAAATTTTGACATCATAAACAAAAAATAAGGGGTGTAAAAGTATAGAGATTTTGTATGTGATCAAAGAAAATTTGTTATAAGCTTAAAATAGACTTTTATAACTAAAAGGTATTTCCTGTAAGCCTCACTGTAACCATAAACCAAAAACCTCTAGTTGATATATAGAAGAAAAAGAGAAAGGAATCAAAGCATACCACTCATTACAAAAAAATCATCAGTTCACAAAGGAAGATAGCAAGAGAGGATGAAACAAACAAAGAATCTACAAGGCAACTAGAAACCAATTAACAAAATGGCAATAGTAATTGCTTACCTATCAATAATTACTTTAAATATAAATTGCTTAAATACTCTAAAGATAGACTGCTCAATGGATTGAACACACACACACACACACACACACACACACACAATATGGTACCTACAACGGATTCACTTAAGCTTTAAGAACACACTTAGAGTCAATGTAAATAAGGAAGGTTATATTCTATGCAAATGGAAACCAAAAGAGAGTAGGAATAGCTAAATTTATACAAAATAAACTTTAAGTCAAAAACTCTCGTAAGATACAAAGAAGATCATCATATAATGATAAACAGGTCAATTCATCAGGGGATATAACAATTTCAAATATATATGCACCTAACATTACAGCACTTAAATTATATAAAGCAAATATTAATAAATCTGAAGGAAGAGACAGACTGGATACAATAATAGTAGAAAACTTTAATACCTCACTTTCAACAATGGACAAATTGTTCAGATAGAAAGTCAATGAGAAAATATTGTAATTGAACTGCATTTTAGACAAAAAGAGGGCCTAACAGACATATACAATGCATTCTGTCAAAAGGCAACAGAAGACTTTTTTTCTTGTACATATAAAATTATTTCCAAATTACTTTAAGTATTAGGCCACAAAACACGTTTTAACAAATTTAAGACGATTGAAACTGCATGAAGAATATCTTCTGATTACAATGGTATGAAACTAGAAATCAATAAAAAGAAAAACTGGAAAACTCACAAATATATGCAAATTAAACAACATTCTTCTGAGCAACCAAAGGGTAAGTGGTAAATTTTCCAAGAGGGAAATTTAAAAAGATCTTGATACAAATCAAAATGGAAACACAGCATACAAAAACTTATGGGCTAGGCCGGGTGTAGTGACTCATGCCTTTAATCCCAGTACTGTGGGAGGCCAAGGTGGGCAAATCACCTGAGGTCAAGAGTTCGAGACCAGCCTGGCCAACATGGTGAAATCTTGTCTCTACTAAAAATACAAAAATTAGCTGGGCATGGTGGCATGTGCCTGTAATCCCATTTACTTGGGAGGCTGAGACAGGAGAATCACTTGAACCCAGGAGGCGAAGGTTGCAGTGAGCAGAGATCATGCCACTGCACTCCAGCCTGAGCAACAGAGTGAGACACCATCCCAAAAATAAATAAATAAATAAATAAATAAATAATAAATTATGGGCTACAGCAAAAGCAATTCTAAGAGAGAAACTTTTAGTGATAAAATCTTACGTGAAGAAAAAAGAAAGATATTAAATAAGTAAGATAACCTTATACCTCAAACACTAGAAAAAGAAGAACAAACTCCAATGTTAGAAAGAAGAAGGAAATCTTAAAGATCAGAGCTGAAAAACATGAAGTAGGGACTAGAAAAACAACAGAAAAGTAAACTGAGTTGTTTCTTAAAAGACATACAAAATTCACCTTTTGCTGGACTAAGATAAAATGTGACAGGACTCAAATAAACAAAATCATAAATCAAAGTGGAGACTTGAAAACTAATACCACAGAAATAAGAAGGACCATAAGGGTCTATGATGAACAATTATATGCCATAAAAAAGATAACCTAAAAAAGTAGGTAAATTCCTAGAAACCATATCTTACCAAGTCCAAAGCATGAAGAAATGGAGAAACTAAACATACCAGTAATGATTAAGGATATCAATTTGGTTGTTTAAAATCTCCATCAAAAAGAAGTCTATGGGCCAGGAACAGTGGTTCATGCCTGTAATCCCAGCACTTTGGGAGGCCGAAGAGAGTGGATCACTTGAGGTCAGGAGTTCAAGACCAGCCTGGCCAACATGGTGAAACCCCGACTCTACTAAAAATACAAAAATTAGCCAGGTGCGGTGGTGCACACCTGTAATCCCAGCTACTCAGGAGGCTGAGGCACAAGAATCATATGGCTTCACTACTGAATTCTATCAAGCATTTAAAGAAGAATTAATGTCAGTATATCCCAATTGCTTCAAAAAAACTGAAGATGATGGACCACTTCCAAACTCATTTTACTATGCCAGCATTACCCTGATATCAAAGCCAAACCAGAACACTACAAAAAAGAGAAAATCACAGACCAGTAACCCTGATGAAAACAGATCCAAATATCTTCCATAAAAGACTAGAAAACCAAATTCAATACCGCATTAAAATGGCCACAGTTCTACAGGCTGTACAAGAAGCATGATGCCAGCATCTGCTTCTCCTGAGGGCTTTTGTGCTGTGTCAAAACATGGTGAAGAAGGTAAAAGGTGAGGCGGGCATATGTGAAATGAGAACAAACCCAAGAGGTATCCTGGATTTGTAACAACCTACTCCAAGGGGAACTAATTTATTACCCCAAAAACCAATCCAGTCTTGCAAGATGAGAACTCACTATTGCAAGATGGCACCAAGCCATTCATGAGACCCCAAACACCTGCCATGAGGCCCTACTTCCCAATACTACCAAATTGGGAATCAAATTTCAACATAAAATTTAGTGGGGCCAAATAAACCAAATCCATATCATACCACCATGATTAAGGAGATTTATCCCTGGGATGCAAGAATGATTCAACATACAAAAATCAGTAATTGTGATATGTCACATTAACAGCATAAAAGATAAACAACATATCATCATCTCAATAAATGCACAAAAAGCATTTGACAAAATTTGACATCCTTTCCATGATGAAAAAACGCTCAGAAAGGCTCACGCCTGTAATCCCAGCACTTTGAGAGGCTGAAGCAGGAAGATCGCTTGAGCCCAGGAGTTCAAGACCAGCCTGGGCAACATAGTGAAACCCTATCTCTAGTTAAAATAAACAAACAAATAAGAACATATTTCAACTTAACAATGGCCATTTATGACAACCCGACACCAACATATTTAATGGTAAAAAGCTTTCCCCCTCATATGAAGAACAAGGCAAGGATGCTCATACTCGTCCCTTTTTTCCCACATAGTACTAGAAGTCCTAGCCAAAGTGATTAAGCAACAAGGATCAATAAAAGGCATACACATTGGAAAGGAAGGCATACAACTGTTTGTTCACCGACATCATAATCTTTCATACGGGCATACTGCATTTTATTCTGCTTCACTTTATTGTACTCTGTAGATATTGCAGTTTTCCTTTTTTTTATTATTGTTTTTTGTTTTTTTTGTTTTGTTTTTTGTTTTACAACTGAAGGTTTTTGGCACCTCTGCATTAAGCAAGTAGATCAGCACCATTTTTTTCCAACAGCATGTGCTCACTTCATGTTTCTGTGTCACATTTCGGTAATTCTCACAATATTTTGAACACTTTCCATGACTTCAACACATCAACCTTCCGTCTCAAAAGAAAAGCATCCCATGCACAAACACACCATGTCCAAGGTTGTTCTGGGCTTGTTCCCACGTTATTTTAGGAGCCTAGAATATCTGCTTTTCACCAGTCCTAATCTGACATCTCCAAAGTCCAGTCTCCTACCTTTCTAGATTTCCCTCAAAGTTGCAGTCCCTTGTTTATTATTTTGTGAGGGGAAGATGAAAGGGTTCATGATCTTTACTACAATGGCTTCCTGACCCACAGAAAAGGTTCAATGTTTTCTTGCACTTTATTCTACCTGAGCTAAACTGCATAAAAACATTAAACTCTCATTCTTTTTTTTTTTTTTTTTTTTTTTTTTTTTTGAGACAGAGTCTTGCTCTGTCATCCAGGCTGTAGTGCAGTGGCGTGATCTCAGCTCACTGCAAGCTCTGCCTCCTGGGTTCAGGCCATTCTCCTGCCTCAGCCTCCCAAGTAGCTGGGACTACAGGCGCCCACCACCACACCTGACTAATTTTTTGTATTTTCAGTAGAGACAGGGTTTCACCTTGTTAGCCAGGATGGTCTCGATCTCCTGACCTCATGATCCACCTGCCTCGGCCTCCCAAAGTGCTGGGATTACAGGCATGAGCCACCATGCCCAGCCTAAACTCTCATTCTAATTGGACAATTTTAAGAAGTATTTTACTCCCAGACTTATAAAACAAGCCTACAGCCAGGCACAGTGGTGCACGCATGTAATCCCAGCACTTTGGGAGGCCGAGGTGGTGGATCACTTGAGGCCAGGAGTTCAAGACCAGCCTGGGCAACAGAGCGAGACTCAAACTCTACAGAAAATTTAAAAAATTAGCTGGACGTGGGGCACCCGCCTGTAGTTCCAGCTACTCAGGAGGATTGCTTGAACCTGGGAGTTCAAGGTTGCAGTGAGCCGTGACCATGCTACTCCACTCCAGCCTGGGTGACAGGAGACCCTATCTTAAAAAAAACAAACAAAAACAAGCCCACAACACTACTTCTTTAGTTCTGAAGCACTGTAAAGTATATTTTAGATTAATAATTTCCAAACCAAGAAAATGAAAGCCTATATTAATTATAAGACCCCAAACAGAAAAAATCTTGTAAAACGATCAAGACCATAAAATTCACATACCTTCTATTTGGTCAATGCAGAGACACAGATCTTTGTTCCGGAGTTTGAATTTAAATGCAAAGCTTCAGAGCCTGAAAATGTCTAAAATTAGACCCATGACTGACAACTGGCCTAGGCTCAATGTCTTTGGAATGTGCTCTACTAAATTTGCTACCATTTGAATGTGTTCCCTCCAAAATTCAGGTGTTGCCAATGTGATGATATTAAGAGGTAGGACCTTTAGGAGGTGATTAGGCCAAGAGGGCTCCTTCCTCCTTAATGGGATTAAGGCCCTGATGAATGAGGCTTCACACATTGGACTAGCTTGCTCTCCTGCCCTTCTGCCTTCTGCCTTCTACCATGTGAGGTGGCAACAAGAAGGCCCTCAGACACCAAATGTTGGTATTTTCATCTTGGACTTCCCAGTCTCCAGAACTGTCAGAAAATAAATGTCTGTTCTTTATAAATTACCCAGTCTCTGGTATTCTGTTATAGCAGCATAAAACAGACTAAGAGAAAATTCCTTGATGATTTTTCAACAAGAGACAGTGTCACTACTTCTGGTGAGTAGTCCCTAACATGTTCTCAAATTCTCCTTTTATGCAAACATAACATTTTTTAAACTTAGTAGTTCCTTTTCCTAAAAATAACCAAATACAGGTTAAGGACTGATTAGTATTAAATATAAGTACAACTTTGGTGCTAAAAGTTAAGAGCTTTTGTTTTCCAGAAAATCAAATCCAAAGAATTCAGATAAAGCAATTTTCTCAAAGATGTATCATCAGTTAGAGGTAAAGCCAGAGGTGAGAAATTATATTCCATTCCAAATACAATGTGCTTTCAATTATTCCACATTAATAGTAGTTTACAAAGGAGATTTAGAGAATTCCTCAAATCAAAAATGACGACATTTATGAAATGTCATTCTTATATAAAATACCTACTTCAGCCATCTCCTCTTCTTCCTCTTCCTCTGAAGTCACTTCTTCTGTTGTCCCATTCTGAAACAGAGAAAGAATCTGCCAGGGCTACACAGGCTGAATACAGGGTGAGTCAATTAGAAGACCGGTGCCATAGCTTTAGGGACAAACTCTCAACCATCTGTCACTGCAGTGCCACTAGCAGAGAGCTTATTAAAATTAAATGTTTATTTTTAAATCCAACTTTGATTTGACAAACAACAGTTATCAGCTTTTAAAAACGGAACAAAGAATAAAAGAATTAGGAATAAAGAAAAGCAATCAGTCAAATACAAAGCAAAACCGAAAAAAATGTTAAAATGTAATCTAATTTAAAATAAGAAAACATTTTACTTACATGGCTATGTGTATAAGATCAATGGCTTATTTTGTTTAAAATAAATATCACAAACTATCCATTCCTTAAAATAACTACCTTTTTAACTTTGAAAAGCCTGAATCATTACATAAATTCAATTGCCTTACATTTTAAAAGATCAGATGTGTTATTTATAGACACTTGACAAAACTAAGAATTATGAAATGATTACCACCTTACTAAAAGGCAAATTTTAGTTTTAAAAACATGTTATTTACTACAAAATACCTCCCTACAAGACAGAATTTACCAACTGACACAATTTACAATGATCAAGTTTAGAAATGAATTTAATGGGGTTTTAAGAAGGGCCTTCATACACAGTTTGGGCAAAGTTCAAAAGATAAGCTTCCTGGCCTGGGCACAGTATATAAATGCTTCTTTAACCATGAAGGCCAGTACAGGTTAAAACCCAGAATATGTAGAAGATCAAAAAACTAGGATTCAGAGATCAAGTAAGACCAACAAAGGTCTCAGCAGTATCTAAGCATCTGTTCTTAGATACTCTGATGGAGTAATTCTTAAGAAAAACAAACCCATGATCACAGAGGGTATTAGAACTCTTCTGGATCAGTCAGCTGGAGAAAGCCATGTAGATAAACATACCCATGAAGAATTAACTTATATTTGCTTTAAATCTGTATCTCTTTAGACATTCTTTGTCTTCTAAAAACTAAATGGAAAAAGGAAGCAAGCAGCAGCTTCCAAAATGTAATTCAACCCTTCTTCATTTCCCTAAATTGTTATACTCCACATTAAACTATTCTGGGTATCTAAAGAATATATTCTTAGCCTAAAAGTCCCAAAGACTTTGGTTGCATCAGTGATTGAAAGAGCATTTTTGAAATGCTCATTTCAAAGCATACCCAGAGAATCTGTTTTTGGTTTTGTTTTTTTTTGAGACGGCGTCTTGCTCTGTTGCCAGGCTGGAGTGCAGTGGCACCATCTCGGCTCACTGCCACCTCCGCCTCCTGGGTGCAAGCGATTCTCCTGCCTCAGCCTCCCAAGTAGCTGGGACTACAGGCGCGTGCCACGATGCCCAGCTAATTTTTGTAGTTTTAGTAGAGACGGGGTTTCACCATGTTGACCAGGATGGTCTCGATCTCTTGACCTCATGATCCGCCCACCTCGGCCTCCCAAAGTGCTGGGGAGAATGTGTTTTTAAAAAGCTCTCTGAGGTGATTCTGACACGCATCCACATCTGTAACCATCAGCCCAGTTACTATCCTTCATTTTGCAAATGATAAAGCTGAGCCCCCACCCCTCAAAAAGGGTAATTTAATCAAAACAAAAAGTGAGTTAGGGTTGTAAAATCCTAAGATGAATTTCAAGATGTGGCCTGGTCCTCTTTCCAAAATCCCACCAAAATGACAGTATTTTACTAAACAGAATAAGTCTGACACAGCAGCAGAAAAATAACAGATACAAGGAGAATACCCTTAGTGAACCAAAACTACAGGGACATGCCGGAAGACACAAAGCAGATGGAATTAGACTGCTGGGCTTGAGAAGGCCACAAACCCAATCCAAATAATGGAGGGACCACTTTTTTCCAGAAGAATCTAACATTCTTTACCGTTCTTGTCCCAACTACAGTTGGTAAGAATCACCCTCCCATATAAGAAGCCTATCTTGATGGCCTCTTACTATGAGTGTGAAAACCAGAGGGAAAAGACAAAATGTTTTTTAATATAACTCAACACAGCAGCAAAATCTTAAAACAGACTCCATCTCTGCCTTTTAACTCAGGAGCTAGAAAGCTCTCCTGCCAGCACCTCCCCATCCTAGTGTCACAGGCGGAGCATGGGTCTGCAAACCAGGAGAGGGAGGCCACAGCAGAAAAGAATGACAATTCTGAAGACACTTGTGATGGTTAATACTCAGAGTCAACTTGATTGGATTGAAGGAATCCCAGCACTTCGGGAGGCAGAGGTGGGTCATTTGAGGTCAGGAGTTTGAGACCAGCCTGGCCAACATGGTGAAACCCCGTCTTTACTAAAGACACAGAAGTTAGCCAGGCGTGGTGGCGGGCGCCTGTAATCCCAGCTACTCCGGAGGCTGAGGCAGGAGAATAGCTTTAATCCGTGGACTGTCAAGAGACGTAGGCTGCAGTGAGCCGAGATTGCGCCACTGCATTCCAGCCTGGGCGACAGAGTGAGGCTTTGTCTAAAAAAAAAAAAAAAAAAAAAGTTGTTTTTTTTTGTTTTGTTTTGTTTTTGTTTTTTGAGAGAAGTCTCGCTCTTATCCCCCAGGTTTGAGTGCAATGGCTCGATCTCGGCTCACTGCAACCTCCGCCTCCCGGGTTCTAACGATTCTCCTGCCTCTGCCTCCCAAGTAGCTGGGATTAAGTAGCCTGCCACCACGCCGGGCTAATTTTTGTATTTTTTAGTAGAGATAGGGTTTCACCATGTTAGCCAGGCTGGTTTCGAACACCGAAAATCTTAAAGGCCTTTGCCTTTCCCCGCCTGGGCTCAAAAGCCGCCATTCCCCGCCCTGTCGCGGTCCCCGGAGCAGGCCGGCTGACTGAGGGCGACCATGGGTCCCGAGAGGGCTCCCGCCACCGCGGGCTCCCACCTCGGGGGGCGGCGACGGGGGCTGAGAGGGGCCAGTGGCCCCCAAGACAGCCCCATGCGAGGAGCCGGAGAGACAGACGCGCCCGCCGCCTCCTCCCACCCAAGCCTCGCGCAGTCCCGGGGCGGGCCGGGCCAGTTGCGGGAGAAAGGGGCGGGGAGCCTCGCCGGGGCAGGTTCCCCTTTGTCCCGGGACTCCGGGCACCCCCTCTCCGCCCTCTTCCTGCCCCGCGAGGCCGCCGCCGGGCGCCTCACCTCATGTTGCAGTGGAGCGTGAGCCGCAGCTGAGCCTCCTGGTTCTCGTGGAAGATAGACGCCAGCAACTTCAGTTTGGCCTTGAATCTTGACACAGACATCTTCCCCTCATCTCCGGCGGGAAGGGCGTGGAAGGGGAGCCGTCTGGAGCCGCTGTCATGGCCACGACCACCCCGCGGGGCCGCCTGGCCGAGCTCTTGTGAGCCTAAAGACCCGCCTCTTCCTGCAGCCTCCACTCTCCTGGGAGCGCGGCTGGAAAATGGCAAGGGGCACCAGGTCTTGGCGGGAGCTGTGTGGCGGCCTGGGGGGCTGCTCCCTTTGTAGCCGACTCCACCGACAGGAGGCGCGGCCCCTGTCAAGCCGCAGCTTAAAAGGGCAACAGGACAACAGAACCACCGCCCCCGCTACCGCCTGGGAAAGGGCTGCCCCTACCCCGCCCCCGTCCCCGTCGCCCCTACCCCGCCCCCGTCCCCGTCGCCCCTACCCCCTCGGCGCACCCTTTTCCGCGGGTGCACAAGTCCAGAGCGTGCGCGCGCTCCCGACTGCCCCCTCCTCCCTTGACCCAGCACCTTTCTGCCGGGCACAGGATCCCGGGGCTAGACTGCCTGGGCTCAAGTTCCAACTTAGCCACTTGCTGGCTGTGAAATACTTGCTTTAAGCAAGTATTTAAGCCTCAGTTTCTTTCTTTCTTTCTTTTTTTAACTTAATCCCAAATGTGATAGTCTCAGTTTGTTGATCTGAAAAACAGAAATTATTTAGTGAGAGTCTATGTGAAAACTTTAAAGTTTTTAAAGCCACTGCCTGGCTCAGGAAAGTCCTCAGCTTTAGCTGTTAAAGTTTTAAAAGCCACTTTAAAGGTTTTAAAGCCACTGCCTGGCTCAGGAAAGTCCTCAGCTTTAGCCTTTATCAGCTATGATTATTATTGTGTTGGCTACACGTGCATTGAGGCAGGAAAATGCTCAGGGATAACAACCAAGTATGCAAATTATCTCATCAGACCCAGCGACAGGCATATGTGTGCATGCTCATGTTTCAGCTCAGAGCCCTTTGTCTAGAAGGCTCTTGAACTCAAGAGGCCCAGGCACTATCAACTTGAATTTGCAGTGGAGCCATCACTTTTGTTGATCAATGAAATTGACATAACGCTCTTTTTTTTTTTTTTTTTTTTTTTTTTTTTTTTTTTTTTAACACCAACCGTGTGCCTCGAGCTAACTGTGTCAAGAAAAGCATGCTTCAGTTGGCTGGAGTGAGCAATTTAACTTGTGGAGGAATGAGAAACGTTAGTGTTGAGAATAGAAACATAAAACCCCAGGGTAAGGTAGGAACCTACCTGAGAACCTTGGGTGAGTCATCCACCCTTTGGGGGCTCCCTGTGCCTCAGTGGAGTGAAGAATTATCCCTTCCTCGCCTTGCTGCCTCCTGGGAAAGTTGATAAGAATCAAGTGAAATTAAGACTGTCAGGCTGTCATTGTCATCCCTATCAGGGGAAGGGTCCTCTGGGGCCTGAAGGGGCTTTGGGTAAAGCACAGCTGTGTTTTCTCCAGGGACCCACCGTGTTCCCATCCTCCCCCATTGTGGCCCAGCCACTGCCTGTGCAAGTGTCACCCAATCCTTCCACAGGCCATCAGAATTCCACTTCCACCCAAGAGGGGAAAGGACACATTGGAGGCAGCACAGACATTAAACACGGTATTTTCAGAAGGAGCAGACATAACCTTACAGAAGTGCTTTATTTTCTGTAACTAGATTTTGTTTTACTGGAGGCAGCTTTGTATAAGGTTCAGGCGTCTCTTGGTCCATTTTATCAGAAGGAACCATGGGGGTCATTTCATCCATCCCTTTTCATCTAAGCAGCACTACATTCCAATCGTGAAGGCATAAGCTTTCCCTGTCAAGCAGGATGCTGCCCCAGACCCTTAGCATCAGGAAACCCCAAAGTCAAACCTGAATCCAGCCTGCTGAATGAAATTTCAGTCCCATCCTCCCTCCTTCTAGCAAAAGAAGGTTTGGGGGAGATTTCAAAACAGAAGCACTTCTCTCCCCAGGGAGAAACCGAAGAGGAGCAGCAGGTACTGCTCTTCAGCCCACACACCCATCTCAGGTGACAGGTCCCCTCCTCAGTGTGGGGCGACGTGGTGGGGGTAGGTTACCGGAGTGTAGCAGAGTGGGGGGAAACCCCTGGTGCCCTCCTGCTGAGCATCTGACCTTGAGCCCTTTACCCCAGCTCCCCCTTTCCATCTGAAGAACAGTGAGGGATCAGCAGACCTGACTAGAGGGTCTCAGGCATGGGTCCTCTCCCCCAGCCCACACATGAACACACGCACACACCCTTCCCAACACCCAGGTATGCAGATGCACACTCCCCCACAGGAGGAGCCGCCCGGAAATCCCTGAATCAGCTTTTCTGCCGTCCAGGGTCTGTGACAAGCGAGCTGCTGCCCTTCTGAAGAGAGGCTCCATGCCGGCCAGGAGCCGCGGCTGCTGCAGCACTGCAGTCCCCGGCTTCTGGAGTAAGGTCTCTGTCTTGGGGCGGGGGATGCCTGGAGGAGGGGAGGAAGGGGGATTCACTGCGGGTATTGGGAATTTCCCAGTTCCCCAGACTCTGTGGGGATGAGAAGCCCTGGAAAGCCCTGAATGACTGCCCCTCCCCCCCAACACACATGCACACAGGATTTTTGTGTGTGTGGGTTGGTGGGTGAGGAATGTCACTTCCTGGGTCAAACACCAAACTCGAGTCCTGGTCCTGAGTGTGCAGAGCAGAAGGCAAACAGAAAGCAGCTGCATGGAGGGTGAAGGAGAGGCTGAGGGGAGAGGGCGAGGGTGAGGTGGAGCTGGGAAGGTCAGGGGCAGTTAATGGCCAGACAGCAGCAGAAATTCCACCTGGCGAGCTGGGGCCCCGAGGTCTTATCGGGTGAGGTTGGGGGTTGAGGGTGAGGCCCAAGGATGAGACTGAGGCACAGGAGTGCTGCCCAGGCTCTCGGTTCTTCCTGCCCCTCCTGGTGCTCACAGTGGGTGTCAGCCTCGCTTTTCCCAAGTGGGAGAAAGCAGATCTGCGGAGGTGGGAGGTGTTGGGTCCATGGCAGAGCCCTTCTGCTGGGTTCCTATCTGAGAGCAGGCAGAGGGTCCTGTGCCAGCAGACGCTCTTCCTCCTCTGCCCCAACCCCGTACCCCTGCATCCCTCTTTCTCCCCTCTCCAGGTGGCCGGTGAAGAGCCCTGGCACCAGCCTTGACCTCACCCTCTGGGACAGACTGAGGCAGGGGACCGCGGGCTGCCGGAGCCCTCGGGGCGAGCTCCCCAGCTCCCCTTCCCCTCCAGCATCTGCCTTTTGTTCCACCTCTCTTCTCCCTCCCTTGACTCAGGAAAACCTTCATCCCTATCTCCTGAAGCAAATCGTTTCCCTCCCACCCCCGCCCGCACGCCGTTCCCTACAGCCAGGGGGTCCCCTCCCCCCCGTCCCCTCCCCCAGCCAATCCCCGGACCCGAGAGGCTGTAAACTCGGAGCTGGCGGGTGGGGTGGGGAGTGTTGCAGGAGTGCACGGAGCTGGCGGGGACTCCTCAGTAGAATCGGGGGAGTCCCGTAGGGCTCCGGGGGCTCGGAGCCGGCCCCGCCCTCCTCAAACTTCTGTAGGACCGCGCCAGTTTAAACCCCTCTGCCCCAGCCTAGTCCGTCCCGCACACACCTCCCCTTCCCCTGTCGCCCATTTCCCCCTCGGCCGGCAGTACGGACTGCAGAAGGGGGGCGTGGGCGCCAGGAGGCGGCCTCTCCCGCAGCGGGGATTGCCTGGGGCGGAGGACCTGCGTCGCGGTTTGCGGGGATCGCCTTCGGAGGGGCCGCACGCGCTGTGTGCAGGCGGATGTGAGGAGCATCTCAAGAGGCGGGTGGGGGAAGCGGGATCAGGTTGTTACTACTGCAGAGAGAGAGAGAGGAAGAGAAGAGAGAGAGGGAGAGACTCGAGAGCGAGCGAGCGCGGGAGCGAGGGCCGCAGCGGCAGGGCCGGCGGGGAAGTGGGAAGAGGGACCTGGACTTCGGGACCCCAGCCGCCCCCGCCCCCGCCCTCTCCACCAGCTCAGGCTGAACGCGCCTGGAACGTCCCAGGGTAAGAGGGAACCCCAGGCGGGGCACCCCACGAGGGCAGCCAGTAGTCCCGAGCGAAGCCGTGCCTGGACCGACAGTGGCCACCTCCAGGGCCTGAGGCGCGGGCGGACGCGGGGTCACCAAACGGTGACACTCCGACTTTTGGGGCTTGGCGCTCACCGCGGGATAAACTAAGAGTAGGACTGAGCCCGCGGTGGGAACTGTAATCCGGAAATCCATGGGCGTCGGAATTACCTGGCTAGACCCCGGGGAGGTGTCCTGAATTATCTCGGGAACCCCTCGCCCCCAACCTATTTCTCCCCGCGGAGAGCCCGGGTTCAACGCGGAGAGAAGGCGAGAGAAGCCGCGGTGCCTTAGCGCTGGGACCGGGGACCTGCGGGGAAGCAAAGGCGACTCGCCGCAGAGAAGCCGTGGGAAGGGCGCGGGGAGGTGCATGAAGTGGGCGTGCGGAGAGAAGTGGGTGCTGGGCGCGTGGGACCCCGCCGCGCCTGCTTCGCTGAGGAGGAGCTGGAAGAACATGCTCGCGCGACCCTGGGGAGCCCCTGGCGCAGAGTGGGGTGTGCCGGAGGCACCGGCGGTGCGCAGGACTGGCTGCCTTTCTGAGCGCCCCTGCCTTGCCGCAGCCGTCCAAGGTTGAGATGAGCGGCTGTATTTTCTACCCCTTCCCTCTCCCAGGAACTTTCCCACACTTTGACACGCGCCACGGCTCTGTGCATTGGAGGAAGCAGGCTCCCGGGGATCCTGGCAAGCTTGCAGAGGCCCGGGTGGGCAATGGGAGGGGGCAGCTGGGCAGTGGAAACGAGGGCCCTACTCAGTGTGCTGTGTGACCTTCGACAAGCCGCTGCACCTCTCTGAATCTCAGGATGATGGAGGCACATGGTAACCAAGACAGGAATGGGGACGAGGTGGGGGAGGGTGCGCGGGGGAACAAGCTCATGGGCACGTCTGCCCCAGCCTCTGCACCTGGGAATCGCTGCCTTTGGTCACTGGCCTCTCTTAAGTGACTTCAGTGCTCACTTCCGGGGCAGGGGGTGGCAAGGTGGAGCTGTGAACCCAGCGCCCCGGGGAGAGTCGGAAAGCTTCCATTCTGACCTGTCCTATGACCTTGGGCAACTCACTGACCCACTCTGGGCCTCAGTATCTTCATCTGGAAAATGGGGTTTGGAATTTAAGGTATCTGAGGTTTCTCCCAGTCCCAACACCCTGCAGGTGTCGCCCACTGAAAGGTTGGGGATGGGGTGCAGCTGGGTAGAATGACCTGGCCTCTGGGAAGACTGTAGCTCCCCTACTGCACCCCCCATCCCAAAGTAGCAGGGCTGTGACACCCTCAGCCTGTTCATTGGTCATCTCTCCCAACTCTCAGAATCCAGCTGATGGGGAGAAAGGCGGGCTTTCCAGCATTACACATCCTCTTTGCAGAGGGCAGATTCTTTCCTAGGGAAAGGTTCGCTGTGACAGACAGATGACCATAGGTTAAAGGGTGATGTCAAGGACCTCACAAGGTCATGCTGTCTGCTCTCTACCTCCAGACAGGGCTGCATTCATCTCAGATAAGGAAGATCTGAAGGAATTGTCTCGTTTTAGAAAGATCTCCACTACAATAGCCTAGAGCACCCCACTGTGCAATGTGACAGTCCTTGCCATAGGAAAGTCTAATCTAACTCCTTTTTGGGATGAACTCTGGTTCTGTCTTCAGTTGAGATGAGACAATAACTTCATACTGGGCATTAGGGTGTTGCGGACGAGTCCGAGTTTGAGACAAGAGAGCTGAGTTTAATTTACAGGCTCTGCCTCCAATTTTGTGACCTTGTGTGACCTTGGGCAAGGCCCTTTCTTGCTTTCCTCCCCTGTACATTGAGAAGGTAGAACTAGTTAACTTCTCAGGCCCTTGCAACCCCACAATTCTGTGGCTGCAGTTCTGGGCTGGTGTCTGAGTAGCAGGAAGTGGGCTTGGCTGGGTGATGGGAGCAGGTGGTCTCCAGGAATTCCCAATGCATTGCCCTCCCACTTCTGTCACCAGAGTCAAGACAACTTGAGACAAATACAGTATATGAATTTCAAAGCCCGGCACACCCCTGGAGGGAGTCCCCAGGAGACCTTGGCTCTACTGGTTATTAGCTGTGTGACCTTGAGCAAATTACTTTATATCTTAGAGCTTCAGTTACTAAGTAGTCAAAACAAAATGAGAATAGTGGTGGTATTTTAGGGTTTTTATGAGGATTAAACAAGAAGCATATGTAAATACTTGGTCCAGTACTGAGCTAAGTCCTTAGTGAGTGGTAGCTATTGTTAATAATAATACAAGCTGTGTAGCAAGCAGGTGGCAGGGCAGCTGTGAGCAGTGGCCATGGGGAGCAGGGAAAGATTGTAGATTTGCAGTGTGATCTTCCCCTACCATCTTCAAAGCTTCCCTACAAAATGGGAACATCAGCACTATCTCTCTGTCTCTCTCTCTCTCTCTCTCTGATCATTAGGACCATTCTGCATTAGAAACTTCATGGGAAACAGAGAGACTGCTTGACTTTCCAATAATCTCACACCTGTTTTCCTTTGGTTCTCCCTTCCCCACTCTCTGCCACACCTCTGGTTATGATAAAATGGGCCTTTTACTCCATTCCCCGAACCTTCTAGGAAGGGACCAACTGAGAAGCAGAGAGGGGTAAGGCCAGATGTCCCTGGAGTGAGTGGCTGAAGGCATGTCTACACCCAGGTGGAAGGAGTGGCAAAGGGACTGGCTCAACCTGGAGGGGGACTCCCAGGACCCCATGGCCGGGACCGAGGTTTACCCTAGACTTGCTGTGTGACCTTAGGCAAGTCGCACGCCACTGTGGACCTCAGTTTTCTTGTATGTGAAGTGAAAGCTTGGTTTAGATGACCCAAAGTCCTTCTGGCTTTGTTGATCCACGACCCTGCTGGCTCTGCTTTTGCCGAGGCTGGGTGGGGGTGGAGGGGGTGGGAGGTTTGTTGGAGTCATTCAGGCTTTGGGTGTTCACTGCCCTGTGATTCCAGTCCTGTAAGTCAGCTTGGGGAGAGGCGATGACCTCCCCTTCTCAGTAAGAGCGCTGATGGTTAAGAGCAAAGTCTTTGCAGATAGATACATCTAGGTTCCCATCTTGGCTCGCTCCTTAATATCTGTGTGAATTCAGGCAAATTACCAACCTCTCTGAGCCTCAATTGTCTCATCTGTGAAAAGGGAATATTGCCAACCTGGAATAGGAAGTCCATAGTGTGATACTGACTAATGCACAAGGAATGGGTTTTTGAGGTTCTGTGTTATCACAGAGAGGGCTCAAGTTAGAGGAAGAGCAGGGATACAGTTCACAGTCCTGCAGTTGTCACCATGCACACAATCCCCCAAAATGCCCCAATGTCCTGTGTCGTCCTCCTGCTGTGCACTGGCCGCAGGCTCCAGGAGTTTGCATGTTCTGGTCTTCATCATGGGACCTGGAGAAAGGAAGAGCTCAGCCACAAAGGCCAAAGGCCAAGCAAGCATGAGTCTGAGAGGAGTGTGGCTGACAAAAGGCTCCTGATGATGAAGGAACACGAGCCAGCGGCATGGCATCCCTCCATTCAAGGTTAGTCATGAGGAAAGGCTGTGAGATGCTGCCTTGGAGAAAAGCTGAAGGAGCGGGGGACATCGCCTTCCGCAGGGATGTGTTAGATGAGTGCCACGGCAGGACGAGGCACTGAAAGGGGCTGTGGGATCATCTCATCCAGCCCTCTGTTTTGATTATGGGGAAACTGAGGCTTAGAGAGGGGGAGCTCCTTGCCCAGGATCACACAGCATGTTAGTACCAGCGATGGAGCTTGCCAGCCCTTGTAGAACCTCAATGCAACGCTCTTTCCTTCCTCCCTGTTAAGCACCAAGCAGTTATTTTCCATTTTTTCTGAAATCAGAGCACAAGGTAAAATGCCTTGACTGCAGCAGAAAGGACATGGGTCCTGATAGGAAGGAACTTCCTGATCTAGATACTGAGATCATGGGGTCCAACCTTCCCATTTTGCAGACTAGAACATGGAAGCCCAAGAAAATTAAAGAACTAGCATAAGGTGACCCAGTATCAGACACTTGAATTCCCAGGCCTGAGCTCTCTCAGTTATGCCAGCTATGCCACGCTGCTGCTCTTGAGCCAGACAGGGCAGCAGGATAGCCAAATGTGAAAAAAATAAACCCAGATGGGCTTGGGGAAGGGAGGGAGGACAGAAAGACAAAAGACCAAAAGACAGAAATATTACTTCCAAGACCACACTTTTCTTTCTCAGCTTGTCTCAGTTGGCCCCTGCTCCCGCTGTTGAGGCTGACAGCTTGCTTTGCCCTCTGACAGGAGAGAGGAGGGAGACAATAGCCAGCCCCATTGGTCTCACTTCCATTGACAAGGCTGAGTGAAAGAAAGTCAATATTTGCCCAGTAGCAAAGGACAGGGAATAAGTGTGACTTGGGATGGGGCGGGGTAGGGGCAAACAGGGTAGGGTGATGGGGCTTTTGTGATTGCCGTGTTGCTCATGGAATCACAACTTAGCAATTTAACAAAGGGTGCATTTGGAAGCAGAAGGGTTTCTAGTAGATGGTAATGTGGCTATACTGCAGCAGGAAGGGCTCATGTGAGGTGCAAGGAAGGACTTCCTACCAGGGAATTGCCCGCTGTTGGCAGTCCTGAGCTGACTCGTGTGCCCCTAGTCCATGGTTTTTGGTTTTGGTTTTCAGGTTTTTTGAGTGAAAAGGAAGGCTGCAGTGTGTAGGGCCTCGGGTGTGAGCACTTGACTTCTAAAGGAGCTTTTGGATTTTCCGCATTAAATAACCCTTTGTACCTCAGAGTGCATCCAGCCCCATTAGCAGGCACCATCCTCCTGGAAACCCTGATCCCTAATAAACTTCCCTTATTGTTTGGAGCTGACACCTCCCCAGCTTCCAGCTCCCTGGAGAAATGGAACTCTTAAAGCTTTTGCAGAAAGGCCTCCGAGCAGATGGCCCATTGAGCGGATCTCTCAGGCAGAGGCTGCAGAAGCTGCAAGAAAGGCTGTGTATATACCCAAAGGATTATAAATCATGCTGCTATAAAGACACATGCACACGTATGTTTATAGCGGCAATATTCACAATAGCAAAGACTTGGAACCAACCCAAATGTCCAACAACGATAGACTGGATGAAGAAAATGTGGCACATATACACCATGGAATACTATGCAGCCATAAAAAGTGATTAGTTCATGTCCTTTGTAGGGACATGGATGAAATTGGAAACCATCATTCTCAGCAAACTATCTCAAGGACAAAAAAACAAACACTGCATGTTCTCACTCATAGGTGGGAATTGAACAATGAGAACACATGGACACAGGAAGGGGAACATCACACACCGGGGACTGTTGTGGGGTGGGGGGAGGGGGAGGGATAGCATTAGGAGATATACCTAATGCTAAATGATGAGTTAATGGGTGCAGCACACCAACATGGCACATGTATACATATGTAACAAACCTGCACATTGTGCACATGTACCCTAAAACTTAAAGTATAATAATAAAATTAAAAAAAAAAAAAAGAAAGTCTCAGTTCCTTATCTGGGCCCCCAAGCCTAGGGAAAGATGTGGAAGAAGTCCTTGGCAGGTCAAGGGAGGCTGTGAATTTTTTTTCTGCCTTTGCTTTGTTACCTTTCCATTTTTCTTCTCCGCATGTTGCTCCTCTTTTCTCTGTGTCCTGAGATTGGGGAGGGGCTGGGGGGGAAGGAGGGGCAAAGCCCACAGCCTTTCCCCAGCTGGAATGGAATGCTTGAACCCTGTAGCAGCTGCCGTCTGCTTCAATGGCTTTTGTGATTGCTGTGTTGCTCATGGAATCACATCTTAGCAATTTAACAAAGGGTGCATTTGGAAGCAGAAGGGTTTCTAGTAGAAGGTAATGTGGCTATACTGCAGCAGGAAGGGCTCATGTGAGGTACAAGGAAGGACTTCCTACCTGGGAATTGCCCGCTGTTGGCAAATATGCTAGGTGGAAAACCGTGGGAGTTGATCCACCGGACTCACTTACTCTCTTGGGAATGAGCCAGGTTTGTTACCTGCCCCTGAAGGGGCCACAGTGACATTCCTGGAGGTCAGTGCTGCCACCCAAGACTAAACCTAGTCCCACAGCCACCAAATTAATCATCAGGGCCGGCAGTCCTTGGAGACCAGAAAGCCAGAGTAGCTTCCTAAGCCCTTCGTTTGGCCCCGGGCACTGAGGGAGGGGCAGAGGGTGAAAGGGGGAAGGAAGGCCCTTGGCCTGGCCTCAGCCCAGCCAGCCCTGCAGCCAGGAGAGATACTGCAGCACCTACCAGCAGCCGGCAGGAGAGTGTCTCAAAGCTGCTGCTCACAGTGGGGCAGACGGAGCCTGCCAGCTCCAAGCCTGCCTTCAACCTGCTCCCCACTGCTCGGCTGGGCTGGGACTTGAGGGCAGCTGGCTGCTCAGAGACAAATTGCAGCCTGTCCCCCATCCCCGCCCCCAGCACATGGCACCTGGGTGAGAGCACAGCCCAGCTTCTGGACTTATGTGGACTTCCTGCACACACACTTCGTCCTGAGCCTAGTCGTGTGCCCCTAGTCCATGGTTTTGGTTTTGGTTTTCAGGTTTTTTAAGACAGGGTCTCACTCTGTCACCCAGGCTGAAGTGCAGTGGTGTGATCACGGCTCACTGCAGCCTCAACCTCCCGAGGCTCAGGTGATCCTCCCACCTCAGCATCCCACATAGCGGGGACTACAGGTATGCACCACCGTGCCTGGATAATTTTTGTTTTGCAAGGTTTTTCTTTGTTTTTGTTTTTGTTTTGTTGTTGTTGTTGTTTTGGTAGAGACAGGGTTTCACCATGTTGCCCAGGCTGGGCTCGAACTCCTGGGCTCAAGCAATCCTCCTACCTCAGCCTTCAAAAAGTGCTGGGATTACAGGCGTGAACCACCATGCCCAGCCCCTAGTCCATGTTTTAGTGAGACTTGGAATATGCGAAGCCTTGTACTTGTATGTGCTTGGCACTGTGGTGCAGTGGTTAAACCTCAGATGCTAGGGCTAGGTTGCCTGTATTCAAATGCCAGCTCCTCCAGTTTTTTATCTGTGGGACTTTGGCTAAGTTACTTAAACACTTGTTACCTCAGTTTCCTCATCTGTAAAATGGAAATGAAATAGCTTGCCATCAGGTTGGCATGAGGATTTGATGTATGACTATTTACATATAGCTCTAAGAATAGGCAGTGCCTGACACACGGTGCTATAAAGATTTTGCCATAAAGTGCTATAAAGAGTGTTATTATGGTGTTTCTGAAAACTGACTGATGTTTTGTAGGTAAAGAAACATAGCAGCAGAGCTGGGAGTGGGGCGAGGCAGGGGTATGATTGGCTTTGATGAGAAGAATCTAGAATCCAGTGAACCCACTATTAAGTTACTGCACATGGCCCCAGGCAAGCGGTTTTTCCCTATCTCTTGGACCTCAGTGGTCCCCATTAAAAAATGTGGAGAGGGATGCCTGCCTTCCTCACTTCTCCCAAGATGTCCTGGGATCGAATGAGGCAGATGATGGTCTGAAATAGCCAGTGAGCCTAGCGGATGCACAGGTTGGCCTCTCCCTGTCCCTGCTCTGGAGCACATGCTGGCTTGCTGGCTGAGGTCCTGGCATGTTGGGCTTTCTACCAAGGGCACCAAACCCAGTGTACTGCTCTCCCAGTGAGGCCACTTGGACTCTGGGTGGCTCTGGGCTGAATCTGGCCCTCCTCATTTTCTGTTCTTCCTTATTTCACCTGGAAAAAGGATGGTGGTTTTGTATCTCCTAATGCTCCTTAGCAAGGGAGAAGGAGTGTTTCTGAATGCAGTGTATAGTTGTACAAGCAGAGAAGGGGGCAGGAGAACCTCTCCTTCAAGCTGGGACACCCTGGCCATGAGCTCCAGACAAACTGAGGTGATGCCTTTCCTGGGTTGTCAAAAGTGGGAGCTCCTTCCCCCTACCACTTGCAGCCAGACTATCCACTGTGCAGGGAGGCAGGCAGGGGGCTGATCAGAAGCAGCACATTGAGTCAATATCACATTCAGCATCTTTCCTGCCAGGTAAGACAAGGACCCTGGTTGTTAGTGCCCTTGTCGCTTCCTTCTCTTTCCTCCTTCCTGGCTGGGAGGGAGAGCCAACCTGACCTGCTCACAGTATTGGAGTGATGGTTAGGTTAGGGCCTCTTGGTTTGGCCCCAATATCTTCTGCCAAGAACCATGGGGGTGACCAGGTTGTATATACCCAAGCAAGCAACCAAGTGATGCCCACTGCCCTACAGACTTCCCACCTGATCATCTGGGGTGAGTTGTGTGTAAGGAGAGGGAAGGCCACTTTATAAATAGCCTTAGAAATGTCTGCTTCTGGAGCTGTCCTCAGAGCTTCTTCCTGAATATCATTTTACCAAGAGCCCCAGAGATGAGGTTTCTTGGCCAAGGTCACCCCCAAAATCAACCGTGAGCTCATGTCTTGAAGTCCACTATACTTCATCTGCCCCATTCCCCAGGCTTCCCTAAAGAAGATATCCAGCATTGCCTAGAAATGTAGCTTTCCCTTCTGGTGCCTGTCTCCTGTGACCCTGCTCCTGACCTCAAATCCCCCTGAATATCATCCCTTGTAAGTTGTATGGGTTTGGATTAGAGAGCGGGGAGAACTTCCTGAGTGGCCTCATTGGGACAGGGAATGGAGGCTTTCCCCAAGATACATAAGGGCAGACCTGCTCTCCATGAGTCTGAACTGGATCAGGTCTTAGGAGCTTCAGGAGTTCGACAACACAAAGTCCAAAATCAGGTCCTGCGGCCTCCTAGGCATGGGACTTTGGGCAAGTTGCTGACTGGCTCTGAGCCTTATCATTAAACTGGAATGGATATGATTTACTAACTTATAGAAGTTTATAAATATATATTTACTTTTTGAAAACAGCTTTATTGAGCTATAATTCACATACTATACAATTCACCCATTTAAGGGCACGATTCAATAGCTTTTAATATATTCACAGAATTGCACAACCATCACCACGATCTAATTTCAGAACATTTTTTCACCCCTAAAAAGGAACTCCATACATATTAACAGTCACCCTCGATTCTTCCATTCCTCCCAGCCTTAGCCAACTAATCATCTACTTTCTGTCTCTATGAAATTGCACCTTCTGGATATTTTATTTAGATGGAATTATATAACACATGGTCTTTGGTGCCTGGCTTCCTTCACTCACATAATGCTTTCAAGGTTTAGCCACATTGAAGCATGTATCGGTACTTTATTTCTTTTTATTGCCAAATAACATTCCATTGTGTGGATATACTGCGTTTTATTTCTCCATTCATCAGTTGATGGACATTTCGTTGATTCCACTTTTCAGCTACTCTGAATAATGCCGCTATCAACATTTGTGGAAGGGTTTTCGTAAGGATACGTGTTTTCATTTCTCTTGGGTATATGCCTAGGATTGTCAAATGGTATACTTTTTTTTTTTTTTTTTTTTTTGAGATGGAGTTTCACTCTTGTTGCCCAGGCTGGAGTGCAATGGCACAATCTCGGCTCACTGCAACCTCCGCCTCCTGGGTTCAAGTGATTCTCCTGCCTCAGCCTCCCAAGTAGCTGGGGTTACAGGCATGCACCACCACACCCAGCTAATTTTGTATTTTTAGTAGAGACGGGGTTTCTCCGTGTTGGTCAGTCTGGTCTCGAACTCCTGACATCAGGTGATCCATCCGCCTGGGCCTCCCAAAGTGCTGGAATTACAGGTGTGACCCACCACACTCAGCCAGTATACTTATTTTTAAATGGTATATTTATATTACTAGGCTCTGTTCTAAGTATTTCATATGGATAGTCTCCTTTAATTATCATAATACTCTACAAGGTAGGTACTATTATGAATCCACTTCTTATAAAGTGAAGAAATGGAGGCATCATTTGAGGGACATCAAGGGATTTGTCCAAGGAGACTCAGCTAAGAGAGCCAGGATTTGGACCCTGGCCTCTGGCCCTTCGCTCTTCCACCAACTTGCTCCCACATGTGAGATTTAAGTGAGAGAACGTCTGAAAGTGCTCCCAGCCTGACTGTAGTAGGTGCCCAAGAAACGTTCGTTGGATGCTGGGAAAGGACCAGACACCTTGCATTTCGCTGTCTGACTCACCATGTGGCTTTAGGGAATTTGTGTCCGTTTGAGCCTCAGTTAAATTTCCCCAATACATAAAGCTTCAATATGGCATTTCATAAAGACAGGACTGAGATGGGAGGTGCAATATCATGGAAAGAGCCCTGGATTCTAGATCTGGCTCTCTCACTGGCTTGGAAGGGGTAGTAATTTCCTTTCTCTGTCTCTGGGTTTCCCCACCATTCAATTAGAGGCTGGAACAATTGATCCTAAGTTTCCTTCCAGCTCCCCCATCCTATATAAGTTCTATATTCTTCCTCAGCAACTGGAGTCCCCTGTGGAGCTAAACTGGGATGGGTGCCCAGGGCCTCAGGTCACTGCTGTGCTCAGCAACACTTCTCCCACCCAGTGTGTTAAAGGCCAGGTAGGGGCTGAGTGGGATGAAGATGGGGAGGGGGAGGACCCACCCTAGGCCTCCCTTCCATTATGGAGCCCTTGGTGTGGGCTGGGGACCTTCTCTTCTCTCAGCCAGAAAAGAGCCACCTCACCTACACATCCCCTCAGTCTTCCCTGGCTCCCCTTCTCTTGAGTCCTGCTCCTCTGGAGTCCTGCTCCCTCTGGAGTCACTGCAGCCCTCATTCCAATGAACTACCCAGCCACTTTTGGAGGCTTGGACTAGCTCCTGGTTTGGGATCACTTATGGGAAAGCGCTGGGCACCCAGTGGGTGCCCAGCATATTTTGGTGACTTAAATAGGGATCAGTATTTGAGCTAGTGGCTTCCCCTAGGTCATGATTCCCCAGTTCACTTATCCCCATCCTTTGTCAGCAAGAGCATTCACTGCATTCTGCAAACCTAACCTGGCAGCACCAAGCGAGGCGCTTCTGCATCTTCCAACTGCACAGCCACAGCCTGTAAACTTTTCCTTGGCCCTCCCTTTAGTCCATATTCCTTACTTCCTGGATGCCACCGGTCAGAGTGCCTCCTGCATCCCAGGTCCTGTGCCAAACACATAACGTACAGGATGCTGCATTTACCCCTCTGTGGTGGGAATTTGTAGTGTCTCTAGTTTATAGAAGAGGAAGCACATCCAGAACAGGGAAATAACTTCTCCAAGGCCACCAAGCTGGTAGATAACTGTGGAAGGATTTGAGCAAAGGCTGTCTGGTCCCAAATCCTGCATCACTCGACTGAAAGGAAAGATGGCATAAAGGGCTTTTAAGGGGGTGCCCAGAGCCAGGGAAATCAGGTGGAGCCTCTCTGGGCAGGTGGGCTCTGGATTCCTCCGGGGCAGGTCTGTGTCTCTGTGTCTTCTCTCTTCCCCTGCATGGAGAACAGTCGAGCCTGTTGGGTAATGCCTGGGAACACCCTCCTCTGGGCTTAGTCTTCTCATCGACAGAACAGGGTCTGACATTTCCAGCAGCCCTGTGCGCCAAGCTTACCCAGAGATCCGGTGATGGCTACACAGCCTTTCTTCCACTGGTTATAGAGTCACTTTCTCCCAGGTTTGCTGTTCTTCCCTGCAGTGTGATGAGCCGGCGTCTCATCCCCAGCTCCCCATCCCCCAATATCTGTGTGTCTCACTATTTTTAAGCTCCGTGGGCTTAATGAGCTGCCTGCCATGACATGTCTTCGACATTTACCTTTTTCTCTAATGAGCCTCAGAGAGCTAGCCTGGGCTTATTTTTCCCTTGACAGTCCCCCACCCCAGTCAGGAGGCCAGAACTGGGCTATTTCCCTTCTGGGCCCAGACTTGGCTTCCTGAGACCCCCACAGCAGTGTGCCCCACAAATTACCTAGTGGTGGCAACACTGCAGATTCCAGGCCCTGGGGAGCTGACTCCTTCTCTGGTACCACCTTCTGTCTTGTTTCTCCTCTCTTACCCCACCTCAGCCCCTTCCTGCAGAGTGGTGATGTCATAAAGGAAACTCTTGTGGTCCCCACATAATTGGCAGCTACTTCTCTCTGAGGACAAACTGCCTGGCAAACCAGCAGGGCCAGGCAAATGAGGCCAATTGGCAGCAAGGGCTGGGATGGAGATGTCAGAGATTTAGAGGCTCTCAGGGTTGGAAGGGGGACCTCAAATTTCATCTAGGTCAATGCTGTGTCCCCTTACCTGAGTCCTGTCTATAATATCCCTCCCAATAGTGGGCTAACCTCAGCTTGAATGCTCCCGATGATGGAGCACTCATTACCTCCTGGGACCACGAACTCATCAATGGGTGGTGCTGACTGTGCAAAAACCCTCCTTCATTTTGAGCCTAAATCTGTTTTCCAACATGAAGAGAGAAGACCCCCGCAGTGGGTTCATCCTTCTTCTGGCTCCAGCCCTCAGTGCTGCGAAGGAGCCGCAAGTCACTCTTCATGAGGAAACATGCCCGGTGTCTTGGGTGGGGGCAGAGGCACCACTGATCCACAAAGATGTGGTGTGATTTTTTCCTCTCAGGGGACTTTGCTTGGGGGAGGGGCCACTGGGAAGAGCCAAGAAGCTGCTAGAAAAAAACTGAAGTCGTTCCTCCTTCTCAAGTGCGAAGTGAACCTGCAGCAGAACATTAGAAACCCTGATGCAGGCTAGCTCCGTCTGTGGGGACCGTTACATGCTGGTTCTCTGTTGCCAGCTCCAGGGAGTCAGGGTCTAATAGGAGCCACCCCAGGTATTCCACTTATAGTTATAGCTCCAAGCAGGGGTCATCAGCAGGGTGACTGGAACTCCCTGCGGTTCCAGAGAGCCACAGATGCTCACCCATGCTGGCTTTGGTAGGCAGGGAGCTCAGTAAGCCTCTCGGAGGCTCAGGATTTTGCCAGTTTGGAAGAGCACTGGATGATTTGGAAGAGCACTGGATTCCAAGCTTGGAAGAGCACTTGGAAGAGCACTGGATTCCAAGCCAGCTTGGAAGAGCACAGTAAGGCAGGCTTCTTACTCTGTCACTTCGGACAAGTCCCTTCCTCTCTCTGGCTGTCAGTTTCCTCAGCTGTGATATGTGCTATGTGTGGACCTTCAGAAATGGTGCAGGGCTGGGCCCTGCAGCTGCCGAATGCCATGTGTGTGGGTGGAGGTGCTTCATCCTGGGCCGTGCTCTGCAGGACACAGTGTTTGTCACCAGTGGTCATATGAAGGGACAGTCCTCTGCCCACTTCCATTTCCCCTCTCCTCTGGCCCAGAGCAGGGAGGCCAGAGCCCTGTGTACTGCTAGGCAGGGCAACGGCCCATTCTCAAATGTTTGCTGGGGCCGGGGGTGTGGAAAGAGGCTCCTGTGAGGGAAAACCTTGAGGCCTCTGGTGTCCTGGACCAGGGAGGCTCTCCTGCCCTAAGTCAGGCTCTGTGGAGAGGGTCCCAGATGATGGCGTCTCTGGAGCCGGGGTGTGTTCTGCCGTGTCATCACCTTCCCAAGTCAGCTGTCATCGCTGCGCTTTCCAGGGTGGTGGCTGTGAGGGGTCCCATCATGGTCTGTGGTTGCCAGACACCCACCCAGGTGGACGTCTCTTGTCTGGAAACTGGCCAGCCTCTTCCAAGCCCACCCCATCTCCTCCTAAACCTTGGCTCCCTGCTGCTTTTCCAGGAAGCCTTTCCTCAGTGGCTCCCTGGTTCTAGGTGCCTTTGCCCTGTGGTTCTCAGCAGAAGCGCCTGTGCATCATGGGAAAGCCGGTTGGCGATGGGATGCACGGCGCTCTATTAGGGTCTATGCTCTCTCTACCCATGGTGTCCTCCAGCACCTGGTCAAGCCAGAGTGTGTGGGAGCCAGGGGTCCACCCCTAGCTCTTTCTGCTCTGCACATTCGTTTTTCTTTTTGATGAAGTTATAACTTAGATTCAGCAAAGTGCACAACTTATGGATATATGCACCAGTATAATCACCAAAGAAATTCCCCAGAAGGATCCCTGTCCCCTCCCAGCCCCTGCCTGCCCCTCCGGTGTAACCGCTCTATTGCCATGGAGTCATTTTCTGTTCTTCAGAGCTTTCCTCCGATTCCTGGTCATTCCTCAATCTCCCTGGCTTTCCTCTTTCTCTACAAATCCTCCAAATGCTGATATTTCTAGAAGCCCATCTCTGGATTTCTTCTTATGCCCACACTCTCCCCAGCGGATTATTCTTTTGTGCTAGTGACTTCCAGAGTCACTTCTGAGCAACACACCTGCCCCTCCCCTCCAAGCTGCCTGCTGGGTATGGCCGCTTGGCTGGTCTGCTGGCATGGCTAGGTCTCACCTAATGTCAAACTCCTGGGCTCCAGTGATTCTCCCACCTTAGCCTCCTGAGTAGCTGGGACGACAGGCATGCACTACCATGCCTGGCTAATTTTAAAATTTTTTGTAGAGATGGGGTTTCACTGTGCTGTCCAGGCTGGCCTCAACCTCCCAAAGTGCTGGGATTACAGGCATGAGCCACCACACTAGGGATAGGTTTTGCCTGGGACATCCTTTGGGAGTCTGGGCAACCTCACCTCTTCACATCCCAGTGTTGTCATCTATAGGATGGGAGTGGCAGCTAGAGGAAGAACAGCTAGACTCTGCTGACTTCTGAGAGGAGGATGTGGTCAGATACCCACAAATGAGAACTTGAAAATTAGAGCAACCAAAATAGAGACTTAGCAGCCACGGTTGGAGAAGCCATGGCTGCTGAGAGGCCTGAGTATTGGGGAAGGTGGGCTGGAGGACGGGGAAAGGCTTGGCAGGATCTGGACACAGGGGCAGGAAAGAAGCCAGGGATAGTGCAGTGGCTCAGAAGAGAGGACTTGGCCCAGAGGTGGGCATCAAGAAGGCCGTCTGGGCTGGAGCTAAAGGCATGGGTAGAAGGAGGACCATTGATTAAGAGAGGCCTGAATTATCCCAGGAAATTTTAAAAAGGGGTGGCTTAATCTGGCCCTTAATAGGGGGTTAGCAGAGAGGCTGCCCCACCTCTCCACTGGAGCCATCCCCGTGTGCTTCTGACAGGCCTGTGCCCAGCCTGGCTCAGGAACCAGCCATGGACATAATGCCATGCTTTACATACAGTGCTCCTAAGCCTCGCAGCACTGCGCAGCAGCTTCCATTATCATTCCCATTATGCAGATGGAGTGCTGAGGCCAAGAGAGGTTAAGCAACCTGCTCAAGTTCCCATGGCTAAAAGTGACAGAGCTGAGACTCCAGTCCAGGTCAGTCTGTCCAGAGCCCAGGTGCTAATTCACCCCACTTGGCTGCACCTGGTGTTTCACTTGGCTCCTCTTCCTCAGCAGAGCTGTCTTCTAGGTTTGGATCCACATAGAATTCCAAGTTGAGGCTTTCCAATTTGGAATTCTCCCCCTCATTGCTCCCCTCCTCCAGCCCATGGGTGTTTTGAGGCCATGGTTCATCCCTCCTGGCCCCTACCTCCCATGTCTGTCCCGGCTCCCGGTCAGGCAGGAGAGAGCTGGCTTCTTTGGAGCACCTAATTGTGCCCCCGGGACTTGCATGCTCCACTTTAGTTTCTGGAGACCACGAGCTGTCATAGGTGTTGGTGATAATGGGCATCTCTGTCTGAAGAGTGATGGGTACATCTCTGTCCCTGGCGCCTGGCCAGCATCTGGAAGGACGGAGGCGCTCTTGGAAACGGGAGGACCAGACTGCACCTTCCTTGGCTGGCTCCCAGCTCCCACTGAGAGCAGGCTGGGCTCTCCAGACGTCTCATGACCTCTCCCAGGTCCCGGTGTGGCCCAAAGCGAGCTACTCTGCTGCCTGGGAGTACAGCTGTTTCCGTCCTCTGGGAAAGGGTGCTGTGAGCGAGCGACCTGTTTCGCTCCGCCTGAGGCCCAGTTTCCTCAATTACAAAATGGGAATCACAGTCCCCACCTCACAGGGCCCGGATGAAATGAAATACACCGCTGGAACGGAGTGGGCACAGTGGAGGTCTCCCTCCCTGCCCCCGGCACCCACCTCTGAGCCCGGTGCCTTTGTGGTCTTCCCGTTAGACCCACCTTCCCAGTGTGCTTCAGGAGCTCCCTGGGGCTGTTTGTTGGGAAGGAAAGAGCCCTGGGCTGAGTGCTAGGAAGTCAGGGTTCAAGTGCACCGGGAGGCCTTGGGCAAGCTGATCTCTGAGCCTTAGCTGTCTCCTCTGTCAAGGGGCAGAACCACATCTGCTGCACCTCCCAAAGGCCTGAGCTCTGTTGTCTCCCCGTGAGCTGCTTCAGGATGGGGTTGGGTTTTATTCTTCTTGTATTCCCAGCACTTAGCACGGAGCCTGACATAGGATTTGGAGAAAACGAAAGTGAAGATCAGAGGAAAGAGTGGATTTTTAAGCAATTAAACATGCTAGGGGTTATTTTCAAGGTTGGGTAAGGCAGACAACTCCTGGCCAAACCCTCATTAACTGGGGAAGTGGTCTTCATGCCCTTCCTTCGCGCATGACTCTCCAGAGAACCTGAGCTGCACTGGACCTTCTTTCCCCATGGGGAGCCACGGGCCTGCCTACCTATAGTGGAGCACCGCAAGGCAGTGCGCCTGCCCGTCCACACCCCACCCATGACCACTCAGGCCCTGGGTGTCAGGGTCTGAACTAGACAGGGTGCCTCTTTCGGCTTTGGGGTTTCTCTTCTCTCCTTTAGCAGGGAGCTTGATGGGACAGAGGTTGCCAGAGTTGGGGGGGCAGTGCCTGCTGAGATCCCCCACCTCCTCCATTGCCTGCTACCAGGCTCAGCAATCAGGCTGCTCCTCTGGGAGCTGGCAGGAAATGCAGTCGTGAACAAGACACGTTCCCACCTCACAGCCTTAGTGATCCTCCAGGAGCTGAGCTGCTTATACAAGTACCTTTGACACCAGGAAGAAGTGACGCAGTCTCTGCAAGAGGAACACACAGAGCCAGGGAAGAGAATTCTGGGCCTCAGGCTCCCCAGCCGCACAACCTCTGCAGCAACCCTTGCCCTCCTGGACAGAGCCTGGGCTGGCTCAGAGTCCCTGACTTGGCGAGCACTGCACCCCTCGTTGTGGGTAACACAAGGTCCGTCCTTGAGTCCATGGTCAGCATGGACTCGGCCTAGCCCCGCTGAGAGGAGAACTGAGGAAAGGAAATGAGTATTTATTTAGGGACCACTTTGTGCCAGCACATGTGGCCTCTTCAATCCTCATAACATCCCTGTGAGACAGGCACCTGATCCTCGGTTTGTAGCTAAGAAATGATCCCAGGGAAATGAACTCATCTCCCAGGGCTGCAGAGCTGCTAAGTGTCAGGTTGGAAAGCAGCCCTGGCTGTTCTAAAGCCCAAGTTCTCTCATGACCCCACTACTCTTTGTGCCCGCTCGCCTTCAGAGGTAGAACTCTCCAAGCATCTCGGAAGGCTCGGTTCTAAAAGCTGAGAGGCTATCTAGGCCGCATGCGGTGGCTCAGGCCTGTAATCTCAGCCCTTTGGGAGGCTGAGGCAGGTGAATTGCTTGAGCCCAGGAGTTTGAGACCATCCTGGGCAACATAGCGAGACACCTTCTCTACAAAAAAGAGCCGGGCATGGTGGTGCGCCTGTAGTCCCAGCTACTCGTGGGGGTCGAGGCTGCAGTGAGCTGTGATTGCGCCACTGCTCTCCAGCCTGGGTGACAGAGTGAGACCCTGTCTCAAAAAAAAAAAAAAAAATGAAAGCTGAGAGGCTATCTTGGGAGATGCAAAGCCACTTTCCAAAGGATGGAAAGAAGTGGAGAGAAACCAGGTCTCCTGATGCCTCTTTCAGGTCCCAGACCTCTTGCCACCTTTGGAGACAGAGGGTCTGGCAAGAGTTGCCGCTGCAGAGGGAGGGTGGGGGCTGGTGACCCTGTGGTCTCTTCCAACCCCGAGGCTGTAAGGTGACCTGCACCGTAGTCCACCCCCTCCCATTACCCAAGTACAGGGCCTGTAGCTATCACCCCAGCTTCCGGGACAAGTCCTGTGGCCCCAGACCCCCAGCCCTCCCTTCCCTGGGGCTTCTCACATTTCTACATGTGGCAGTGTAATGCACCTGCACGCAATGTTTGTATGCATGTTCACAGTGCCGGTTCATGCATGTTTATACATTCATACGTGGTGTTCATACACATGGCGCTCACGTGCACCCACATACACATACACAGCCTTTCTGGCATTCTCTGCCACGTCCCTGCACTGGCTGCTGTCACCCATTTCAGCTGGGCCTGAGAGATGGAGACAGGACCCCCACCCCGGTGCTGCCGGCTAGCAGATGCCACAGTGCTGATGTTCTGCTCCATTACTGGGTTGATGGAGCCTCCTTCTGCCTCCGGCCTCCCACCGGTTGCCCACCTCCTCCTTTCCAGGGTGTGAGCGTTGACTGGGGGCCTGGGAGGCAGTGAGCCTGGCGGGGGTGCGGCTGTGTGCGGAGGGCATGGGCCTGGCTTGGGTGGAGATGGGGCTGGAGGCAGGCGGCAGGCTCCTGGACGGACAGCAGGGGGCACCACTAGGTCTCCTCGCCGGGCCACAGGAAGGGAGGAGCCGGGCCTCCAGGCTGGGGAGGAGGCTGCGGTCTCTCCAGCTACTCTCCCGCAGCTTGAGCGGGGGCACCTGCCACCCAGCCCGGGCTCCTGCCCCTGCTCCCTTCCCCCTCCCCGCACACTGGCAACACCCCCTCCCCTTACACCCCCAGTCCACGCCACACACACACCCTACTACACACCACACACACCACACAGACACACACCACACACATACCACACACCACAAACATCACACACCCTACTACATGCCACACACACCACACAGACACACACCACACACACACCCTACTACATGCCACACACACACCACACACATCACACACACACCCTACTACACGCCACACACACCACACACACCACACACACACCCTACTACACGCCACACACACACCACACACATCACACACACACCCTACTACATGCCACACACACCACACACACCACACACACACCCTACTACACGCCACACACACCACACACATCACACAAACACCCTACTACACGCCACACACACCACACACACACCCTACTACACGCCACACACACACCACACACATCACACACACACCCTACTACACGCCACACACACCACACAGACACACACCACACACCCTATTACAGGCCACACACAACACACACACATACCACACACAAACCACACACACACCCTACTACACACCACACACCCTACTAGACACCACACACACACCACACACACCCTACTAAACGCCACACACACCACACACACCACACACCACAAACATCACACACCCTACTACACGCCACACACACCACACACACCACACACCACAAACATCACACACACCCTACTACACGCCACACACGCCACACAGACACACACCACACACCCTGTTAGACGCCACACACACACACCACACACAAACCACACACACACCCTACTACACACCACACACCCTACTAGACACCACACACACAACCTACTACATGCCACACCACAAAGACACACACCACACTACACATACCACACATGGCACACACAGACACCACACACACCACACAGACACACACCACACAGACACACACCACACACCCTACTACATGCCACATACCACACAGGCACACATCACACACACACCACACACACACCCTACTACACACCAGACTCCACACACACACACCATGCTACATGCCATACACACCACACACACACCACACAGACAAACCACACACCCTACTACACGCCACATACACCACACACACGTACCACACACAAACCACACACACACCCTACTACACACCACACACACCCCACTACACACCACGCACAAACCACACACCCTACTACACACCACACACACCACACACAGCCTACTACAAACCACACATACCACAAAGACACACACCACACACCACACAGACACACACCACACACCCTACTACATGCCACACACACCACACACCACACACACTACTACACACCACACATACCCTACTACACACCACACACACACCCTACTACACACCACACACAGCACACACACCACACACACACCCTACACACCACATGCACACACACACACACCACACACATCCTACTACACACCACACACACTGTGCTACATGTCATACACACCACACACACACCCTGTGACACCACACACACCACACAGATACCACACACACATCACACACACACCCCACTACACACCCCACATACTACTAAACACCACACACACCACACACACATCCACACTCTACTACACACCACACAGACACACCGTACACACCTTACTACACACCACACACACCACATGCACACACCACACATACACACCCTACTACACACTACATGCACCACACAACACACACCACACACACACCACACACACCCTACTACACACTGCACACATACCTCACTACACACAACACACAACACATACACATATTACACACACCACAGATGCACTGACACACACATCCCACACAAACTCACTATACCCCCATACCACACATATGTACACACCACACATATGCCACTACCCACCACTACCCACATACCCCCTGACACCCCACTAGAGCCTCCACCCCTAAACCCACACCACCCCCTACATCACACACACACACCATATACACACACCCCACTGTCCCCCACACCCTAGAGCCCACATTACACACTACACATACAGCACACACATCCTACACACACACACCACCACGTATACCCCTACCCACCACACACGTACACACACCACATATGCACACTCACATCACACACACACCACCACACTCACGCACTCCTATTAAAAGGCTTTTGCTTTCATGCCAAACCTCTAAACCCATCCCTTAGAGGGGCGGTGATCGGCAGAGATAGTATGTTCAAACCTTGTAACATTTAGTCAGAAAGAAAATGCATCAATTTGTAATGGTTTGTAGCTGAAATTGAAGATGTGCATCTGGCATGAAAGATATCGGGACTGTGCTGGAAGGTGCTGTGTGCCTCACATGAGGCAGAGCTGCTCACACTGTGGCTGGAGGATCCATTGATTATGTGGGTTAATCACTGCTAAGCCACAGAGAGCTCCCCTTTCCCCTGGTGAGCGCTTCCCCAGCTGACAGTTGCCCACGCGCTCTGCAGAAAGCAGTGCCTCTCTTGGGAGCACGACCAGGGCAGACCCCCACGGTCCTACCCGTCCTCCCTCACACTCAGAGCATGCGCACAACAGACCTCCTGGGGCCCACGGGTGCACCCCCACACACACACACTTTCCGTATCCTACACCAGGCAGCCCAGGGCCCACTGGTCCCCAAGCCTCCATCTGTCCCCACTCAATCACTCATTCGGGGTCCCCCACCCTTCCTGGCGTGCTCCCAAGCATCTTGACACTCAACCAATGGAAGACCCTCTCCTCCGCCCCAGGACAGCTGCCTGTGGGTTTGGGAGATGTTGTGGGGTGCTGGGGAGTGGGGAACCCTGGAGGCCCAAGATGCTGAGTCTCTGGAGAAGGAGGTGGGAAGGCAGCCTGTCTGGGGGCCAGAGGCAGCCCCCTGGGCTGAGAGCAGCTGGGGGCCCCAGCAGGCAGCTCAGGGCTGGCCAGGCAGCTGGACTGTGACTCAGCAGCTTCTCCGCCTTGGCTAGAGTGCGCCGTGCTGCAGTATTAACTCCCTCTCCAGGGAGCCTGGACTCCAGCTTCTCTCCCACGGGGATGGCGGGCTCCTCTGTGCTGTTTCAAGTTGATCCTGGCTGGGGTGGCAGAGCGGAGGGTGTGCTGAGGGGCCTGCCTGGCCAGGGCATCCCTCTGCCCCCTCACCACCGCTACCCCTACACCCTACAAGCGTTAGCCAAGGATCAAATGGAGCCAGGGCTTGGTGGGGTGGCCTGAGGAGCTACAAAGGCCTGGAATCCAGGAATTGACAACTCAGGCAGTTCTGCCACCATTTAGTGGTGTTGTTTGTGTGATGGAGGTAAGCCACCTCCCTTTGGGGCCTCGATTTCTTTGTTTTCGAAAAGAGGCTGTGGACTGCATTGTCTGTAAGAGTCCTTCAGCCCTCACAGGCTGGGTTTTATTAATATTTGTCTGTGATTTAAGGGTATCCATGCCTGGGGTCTAGGTTCAGAGAGAAATAATCCGAGGCAGGCGTGAGGTGCTGCAGATTTGCAGAGCCTTACTCAGGAAACTTCACCTTTGATCATGGAAGCAGTCCTTAAGGCAGGGAGGGCAGGGATGCTTAACCCTCACACACAGCTGCACAAGCGCAGGGAGGCTAACAGGCCAGCCCAAGATTGATGCAGGAAGGGCTCAATCCTCAGCCATTGGATTCTGAGGTGCCCATCAGGTGGCCTGGGATTGCTGATCTCAGCATAGATGCAAGAGAAGGAAAATGAGTGTTGCCGCAGCAGGAGAGATTGAAGTTAGACACTAGAAGGACGTTCCAACTCTCAGGAACCTGGGAGTTGTTAGCTTCCCCAGGGCCAGTCAAGAACAGACTCTGCTTCTATGTGTGCAGAATGACAACCTTGCTCCAAAGTGGAGGTGTGCGTGGACTGACCAAGAAGGCTCATCAGACCTCGGTACACAAGGAACTCAAAGAAATGGGTAATTTATTTTCAGAATGAGCTAGAAAATTAATTCATTAACACTTTATCCTCAGCCTCCCAGGACCAAATGTTGGACTGAAGCACTGGTGCAAAACATAAAGACAAACATTTCTCCTTAAGTATTGATCTTTTTAGCCTACGAGCTTCGGCGACAGGTGTCTTGCTGGTTAACCTATTTCCATCTCATTACTTTGGCTTCTGCAAATACAATGCCGGGAAAGATTAAATACTGTAAGCTGTATCCAGTCAGCTCTCCATTATCTGCATTAATCGAGGCCAGTACTGAGTGGGATAATCCACAGAAGTGCCTAGTCCCCAGATCATATTTAATTGATTTGGGGTGGCAATTGATGGTGAGTGTGTGTACATGTGCGCACACACACACACATATGCTTTTGGTGAGGGTGAGGATCGAACTTACTCATCTTTGATGTGGCATCAGGATCCCATTTTGGAGGCAGTCTCATTTGGGGGCACACCAAGGGAATCCCAGAAGCCTGCTAGAGGAGACAACAGGGCTTCTAGTCTCCCGACTTTTTGTAGGGAAGAAGAGGCAAAGTGAGAGTCCAGGTGTCCTCTGAGGGTGAGGGGGGCAGGTCCTGGTGGCATTCTCCCTGCAGCATGCCTCCCACCTGGAGCAGGTCAGGCGATTTCCGGGTGAGCTACACAAACCCACTCATTTGTTCTCTCTTTTGGCCGGGTGCAGTGGCTCATGCCTATAATCCCAGCACTTTGGGAGGTCAAGGCGGCAAGATCGCATGAGGCCAGGAGTTCAAGACCAGCCTGAGCAACATAGTGGTACCCTGTCTCTACAAAAAATTTTAAAACTAGCCAGGCATGGTGATGCATGTGTGTGGTCCTAGCTCCTTGGGAGGCTGAGGTGGGAGGATTGCTTGGGCCCAGGAGTTTGAAGGCTGCAGTGAGCTATGATCACGCCTCTGTATTCCAGCCTCAGCAAGGGAGTGAGACGCTGTCTGTAAAAAATAAAATAAAATTAAATAAATTTAAAAACACACAAACCCCCCTCATTTGTTTTCTCCTTCTCAAGGCTGAGGATCCAGCTCCAGGGTTCTGAAGTACCAGAGGGTGGAAGAGACAGGCAGATTTTCATGGGCTTCAAAATTTTAAAGATACAGAAAGATACCCAGTGAAATATTTTCCAGCTCCTGCTTTCCCAACTCTGCTCCCCAGAAGCAACTACAGCTAATGTCATCGATTCCTTATGCACTTTTCCAGAGCCGTGCTGTGAATATAGAAGCATACAAGCATACATATGCTTCTCCCCCACCCTTTTACACAGGTATCATGCTCACTCCCCTGCACACTGATTCTTCCACTATCTCCCTTGGAGATCATTCCCTGTTCACCCACACAGAGCAAAGCTCCAGGGCATCTGGGTCTTCTGTGATTCTCCCACGTGGGCTGACCATGGGCAGAGTAAAGACCCTCAAAGCAGAACATCCCAGAACTACTGAGAGTGTGAGGGTGAGTGTGTGAGGTCGTCTCACCCCACCTTCCTCCTCCAGCCTAGCTCCCCTTCCCTCCTACTCAACTTGATTGTCAATCAAGTCTCTCTTTAGTTTAGGTACAAGAACTGTGGCTGAGCTCTGAGCACATCTGGGCATTTGGAGTTAAGGAAAGAGAGAGCCTCTAGACATGCTGTTTCTGCTTGTTATAAGAGGGCTCATAATAGGGGGAGAGATGGTGGCCCCTTCCCCCTGCACTCCCCATCCTGGTGTATCCCTAGGCTCTCTGTTGAGAGCATTCTTTTTGATACTCACCTGAAGTCCTGCTTTCTGCCCTGACAGCTCTCTACATGATAGAAAGAAAAGGATAAGATAAAGGATAAGCCAACCAGGTTGTCACCTGCTCCCCAACTCCTCACCCAACCCAGGCCAAATGTGGCTGTTCTCCCCAGCAAAGGGGGCCAGAGGCAGTTAACTAGCACTCCGAGACCCAGGCATGTTCTAGGGTCTGTGCTGGGATATGCATGCCAAGCATGGTTCCTCCTGGACCCATTGCTCCCAGCCTTGGGGCCACTTGCAGAGGCCTGAGTGCTTGGGACTGACACTGTCACAGGGGCCAAGTGGCCATCCTGGGCAGACAGAAGGACAGTGGCCAGTGGACCAGGGAGAGAAGGGAATTCCTGCGTGGATTCTGTTTAGTGACCTTGCTTCTGGTCCACCCCTGCTTCTCCAGCATCATTTCCCACTATTGGAGACTCCCCCTTCCTGAGCTTTCCCTGAGGACTGGGCCCCCTACCTTGCTCCTGAGCAGGAGACCTGGCCTCAGTCAAATTTAGACCCGGTTCTTTATTCTGATCAACTGTGTGACCTTGGGCAGGTCACTTACGACCTGTCTGAGCAGAATTTGCCTTGTCTTTGAAATGATGCTGGTAATTGTGCCCTCCTCCCAGGTGGGTTAGATGAGAACATCTGTGTGCTCACCAAACAGAGTTATGGTGATTGAACCTGTTGTTGCCACCAATGTCCTCCTGCCTGCCCTGCCTTGATGCCCTCCAGGTCCGCAGTGCCTCTGAGGCTTATTTTACTTCCAGCAACTGGGCTTGGACTTTGACCTCTCTGGCAAGAATTTCTGAATTACTTAGAACCTCATTTTTTCAAAGTGTGGTGCCCAGATCACCTGCATGAGAGGAAATGGGGGTGCTTGTTACCATGCAGATCCCTGGGCACATTCCAGTCCACTGAGTTTTCTGAGTTAGGCTCTGGGAGACAGGTGCGATGGCAGAGGGTCTACATTTTAACAAACTCCCCAGGGGGGCTTGATGCAGGCCAAGCCTGAGAGACCCTTCCTCAGTCCCTTCCCTTGTGTGTCTTCTCCCTTGTTGGGGCCTCCCAGGCCCCTTCCTCTTCAGACCTTGACCTGTGGCCCAGCAGGCTGGGAGCAGGCATCTCTCCACACCCCCAGCCTCCCTCCCCGGACAGCTGCAGCCTTCACCTAATGGTGCCATTTCATGCTTTCCTGCTCGGGTGATTCTGACCAGACAGAGGAGTTCACTCTGTCCTGGGAGCCCTGGCACCCAGATCCATTTATCGTCCTTGAGTCTTCCAGCTGGCTGCTCTCCCAGGGACTGCAGCTCCCAGCCATGCGGGAGGCGAGGCAGCTGTGAGTTCCCGATAATTTGGCTCTCCCTCACACCGTTCTCACCGCCATTCCTCCACAGCCATGGGAGCCCTGCCTCCTAGAGTGGGGGAAATAGTCCTGGAGGCGGAGGAGGCTGCTGGGCTGTGGAAGGAAGCACTGGACTGGGGGTCCAGGGATTTAGATTCTTCCTCCACCAAATGCCTGTGCGACCCTGGACAACTGGCTTCACTTCTCCGGGCCTCCAGGAGTCTTGGGGGTGGCATGTGGGGTATGAAAGGGCTCCTGCTGTTTTCCTTCTTTCTACATTTTTTTTTCTCTGACTCTAGAAGGGACAGCAGAGCCAGGTGATAGGGGGTCACATCAGAAGGAGAGACAGCCGAGGGAATCTTGGTCTCTCAGCTACTGGCATGTCTCCCAGGGAAAATGGAAATGCAACCCAAGGGCAGCCTGGGAAAAATAAGCAGTGGTTCTCTACATGCTGGGTAGACGTGGGCTGTGGGAAGGACATGTGGTCTCCACCCATGCAACGTCTCATTTAATCCCAGCCTCAACTCGAGGGTTTAGGAATAAAAGCTGCATTCCAATAGTTTAGAAGTCTGACACTCAGAGAGGTGAAAGAAACCACATGAGGTGAAATGGTTCATAAGGGGGTATGTCTGACTCTCTATAGTCCTAGGCCTGCTGCAAGAGGAGAGGAAGGGTGGGCAGTTCCCAAAGCTGTGCGCAATGCCCCTACCTCCCATGCCAGCTTTGGGGTCTCACTGTACACACACACACACACACACACACACACACACACACACTCTCACACCAGGCCTTGGTTCCTTCCCAATCTATGCTTGAGTGGGTGCCCCTGGATACAGCCTGATGACGACTGAGTCTTAACATGGTTTGTGGAAAGAGCCCCGGGCCCAGAGCCAGCCTGTACTGCACGGGGGAACCCTAGGAAGGCCACTTCCCCACAGAATTCAGTGTCTTCTGTGAAATGACATAATGTGACCCAATCTCAAGTCTTTCCTGCTTGATCATTTACAGACCCACATATTTATTGAATGTGGGCAGATTACCTGAGGTCAGGAGTTCGAGACCAGCCTGGCCAACATGGTGAAACCCCTTCTGTACAAAACTACAGCAAATTAGCTGGGCGTGGTGGTGGGCAACTGTAATCCCAGCTACTTGGGAGACCGAGGCAGGAGAATCGCTTGAACCCGGGAGACAGAGGTTGCAGTGAGCCAAGATCATGCCACTGTACTCCAGCCTGGCAGACAGCGAGACTCCGTCTCAACAACAACAACAACAAATGTGTAAACAAGTGAGCGTCCCAACAAAATTTTACTTACAAAAATTAGGTGGGGGACTGGATTTAGCCCCTGGACTGCTGTTGGCCAACACCTGCACTAGAGCAGCAGCAGTGAGCAAGACAAATGAGGTGGCTGCTTATACAGTCACAAGCTGCATGAGTACCATGGGGATGAGAATGGAGAGCCGGGAAAGTAGGTGGTTGGGGCCTTGATGCAGGGTAGGGGAGGAGGGAGCCATGGGTGTGTGGAGGAAGGCGCACTTGGAAGTGCTGTTTGAGCTGAGAAAGATGTGTAGACTGTATTAGTCTGATCTTGCACTGCTATAAAGAAACACCTAAGACTGGGTAATTTATGAAGAAAGGAGGTTTGGTTGGTTCGAAGTTCCACAGGCTGTACAGGAAGCATGATGCTGGCATCTGCTCGGCTTCTGGAGAGGCCTCAGGAAACTTACAATCATGGCGGAAGGTGAAGAGGGAGCCAGCACTTCACATGGCCAGAGCAGGAGGAAGAGGCAGGGGAGTGGGGGTTGGAGGGTGCTACACACTTTTAAATGACCAGTCTCATGAGAACTCACTATCACTAGATCTGACCCTGTGATCCAATCACCTCCCACGAGGCCTCACCTCCAACATCAGGGATTACCATTTGACACGAGATTTGGGCAGGGACACAGATGCAAACTGTATCATAGGCTTTAGCTCCATGAAGGGGGCACAGCATGTGCAAAGGCCCCGAGGAGGGTAATACAGTGTATTAGGGGAAACAAAAGAAGGAGTATGGGCTGGTGTTAGCAACCCAGGGAGGGAAAGCCGAGGTGCTGCTGGATGGAGAGCATGAGGGGCTGTAGGCGACGCTAGGGCTTTTGGCCTGTCTCCCTGGGATGGCTTTTCATTACGGCGACATGACCGGCTTTGCATTTTATGAAGATTGCCTTGGTGGCAAATACGGAACTGACTGGAGGTGAGCAAGAGGAGACCCAGATCAGGCGGCTATGTCGGGGGCCAGTTGACCTGTGGGCCTGGAGCTCAGAAGTGGCTTGAATCTGACCGAAGAGGATGGCACTGATGCCAGGGTGTGGAAGGAACCACTCAGGGAGACACCATGGCTGAGAAGGGAAGGACCCCAAGGGCAAGCCTGAGGCAACCGAAGGAGGAGTAGTCACAGTTATGATGAAAGCAGGCAGCGGCCAGCTGGTGACCACAGCTCAGGGGTCCAGCTCAAGGAAAATGAAAATGTGGCCTGGGTTTAGTGACCTTGTGTTCATCATCCATGACTTTACAAAGAACTACTTCAGCAGAGGGATGGGGCAGAAGCCACAACGGAGGGGCTGATGAGTGAGGCGGACGTGATGAAATGGGGACCATGTGTTGCGTGTATGTGTGTGTGTGTGCACGTGTGTGTATGTGTGTGCATGTGTGTATGTGTGTGCGCAAGTGTGTGTGTGTGTGTGTGTGGTCACAAAGGGAAAGGGAGAACAAGGCAGCAGGTGGAGCTCATTTTTGGTGGGTGATGTGATAAACTGGACTGGTCCAGCCTCAGCCGAGGGAAGGGGGAAATGTTAGGCACAAGAAAGGGCAGGGATGGCAAAGACTTCCTGAGAAGTCAGGAGGGATCCTGTGCAGGAGCGGGAACTGGCTTAACCAGAGGAAAAGCCCTCAACTGAGAAGGGGTCAGGAGGAAAGGTCTGTGGTTTGACCCGAGGCTGGGACATTTTGAGAGATTTCTCACTTTTATTTTTCTTTAAAACAACAGGAAAGAGACAGGAGGGGTGTGAGGGAGCCACAGGCCTGCGGAGACTGGAGGAGGAGGCAAAGCTGGTGGGGAGGCGTTTCCTGCAGTTTCTGTGCAGTGCAGAGGGCCTGGATGATCCTGGGGACTGATGGGGCACGGGCTGCCCTCGTACTGTGGGGAGACTCTCACCAGGGGGCTCAGCAGTCAGGGGTAGCCATGGAGAAGGAGAAAGCTGTCAGTGGGATTTCTCCAGGGCTGGCGCTTTGCCAGGTGAATACCACAAAAATGCCAAGGGAGTGCAGGGAATTGTGAACAAGTTGTAGGCACCACAGACCATGGTGGGAAAAGAAGACTAGAGGGGCTGATGGTGGCCCGGGAAGGTCAGGGAGATTTCTCCAGGAACAGCATTCTAGGCTGAGGGAGAGTAAGTGCCGAGGCTGTGGGCTGGGGGTCTGTTTGGTGGGTTTGTGGCTGGTAGCAAGAGGCCAGCATGGCAGGAACTGAGTGACTGAGAGCAGGGACAGGAGATGCCTGTGGGAGCCAGCCAGGGGCCAGGCCAGGCAGGGATCTTATTCTAAATGTGACAAGATGCCACAGGAGGGTTTTAAATAGATCAGTCTGGCTGCAGTGTGGAGATCAGGCTGAGTGGAGGGGAGTGGAAGCTTCCAGATTGGAGGCTACTGTGGTACTCCAGGTGGAGGGTGGAAAGCGGCCAGATTTGGAAGGCACTGTGGGTTGTTGATGAGTTTGCAGACACCTGGGATGTGGGGGGTGACCCCACATGGATGGGAAGGATGACCCCAAGGCTTCTGGTCTCAGCACCTGGTGCCATGTACTGGGTGCATAATGAGAGGTGGGCCCTGAATCCACCCCATCCACTCTCTGGGCCCACTGCCCATGCCTGCCTTTGACCGAGAGCCTCCTTCTCAGGCATCTTTTATTCCCTTGCTGTCTGGGCAGCTATAGCCTCCTGGTTTTTTTGGAGTCTGGAAAAGCCTCGAATCTGCTGCTGCTGCTTCATGGACTCCCCACATTCCCTCTCTGCAGCTCTAAGTCATCTTCCTCTGGCAGGTTCCCCGGGAACACTGTCTGTCTTTCATAAGAGCTCGGGGATGACATTTGTTATTGGCTGTTTTCAACTCTTTCCCCCCTTTCCTCTGGAGTTATGCTCCATCCTAGTCTTTTTACTTATGACAGCCAAAGTGAAACTTTCAAAATATGCATTTGTACATGTTACCCCTGCCCCCACCCTAAAAGGCCTCCCACAGCTTCTCATTCCTCTTTGGGAAGGACAAAACTCCTTGACGCAGCCTATGGTGCCCCTGATTCTGCCCTGCCCGGCCTGCCAGCCTCACCCTGAACCATGCTCCATCCACTCCAGCTGCCCTGGCCTTCCCTCAGGCTTTGGACTCACCACACTGCATCCCACCTCTGGGCCTTTGCATAGGCTGTGCTCTCTGCCTAGGCTGCCCTTTCATCTCCTCTTTACCTGGATAAATACCCACCCTTCGGGTCTCAGTTCAATCATCAATTTTTCAAGAAAGCACTTTTGCTTTCCCAGATTAGTTCAGGTATGCCCCTTTATAAATGCTCACCACCACCAGATGGCTCTCCTTTCTTGCACTTCTCATAATTACAATTTCATATGCACTTATGTGAAGTGCATGGTAAATTCCATGAGGGAAGCAGGATATGAGCTCAGTAAATACTTGAGTGAGTGAATGAATGAATGAATGAATGAATGAATGAATGAATGTGTCTCTCACATCTGTTCTCTCTACTCCATTCCTTACCTTCCCATCCTAGTGCAGGTCTTTACCATTTCTGGTCTGTGGAACCAGCCTCCCTGCTCCACTCCCCATGGAGCTAACTTCACAAACCCCACTTATAACTGCTCAGCACCCTTCAGTGGTTCCTGCTGGGTATAGAGGGAAGTCTAATCTCCTTTTCTTGGACTCCAACACTCCTGAAATGCAGTTCTCCCCCTTCATTCCTGGCCTGCAGGTTCCCTGAACCTCTGGAGCATTAAACATCTTCATTCCTGGCTGGTTTATTTCACTCCAAGCAGCTTTACTTTGCTACAGGACCATTTCTGGATGGTCAGTCTTGGAGAGAAAGCCCGCATCCACCATGAACCTTGGGTCCCTCTACAGTGCCAGGGCCACTTCCAGGTGCCTCAGATAAGGTTCAATGAACACTTCTCAGATTCACATCCAACCCACATTTATTGAATGCCCTCTATGTGCCAGACACAACCAAATTTATTTTTAAATTTTTCACAGCAGTTCTGAAAAGTAGGTATTATTTTCCACAATTGTATATTGAAGAAATCAAGTTTCACAAAGGGATTTGTTTGGAGTCAAATGACAAGTGGTTGGCATTCTTGGGACTACATTCAGCCTCTTCCCGCAGCCCGTGCTGCCTCCTGCCCACCCTGCAGTGGAGAGTGAGAGGGTGGGGTGCTGTAGGGACCGTGGACCGGCTGTGGGCAGCTGTCTGCAGAAAGGGGAGGAGGACTGCCAATCCAGGGGCAAGGGTAGAATGGAGGAGCTAGGCTCAACCTGATAAATGGCATCTACAAAAAGCCCACAGCTAACAGCTAACATTATGTTAAGTGAAGAAAGATTGAAAGATTTTCCCCCAAAGATCAGGAAAAAGACAAGAATTCCCAATGTCACCACTTCTGTTCAACAGTGGACTGGAAGTTCTAGTCACGGCAATTAGGGAAGAAAAAGAAAATGGAAAACTGTCTTCATTTGCATGATTCTATATCTAGAAAATCCTAAGGAATCCACCAACACACACACACGCACACACACACAAATTATTAGAACAAATGATTTCAGGCTGAACGCAGTGGCTCATACCTATAATCCCAGCACTTCGGGAGGTGGAGGCAGGCGGATCACCTGAGGTCAGGAGTTCAAGACCAGCCTGGCCAATATGGTGGAACCCCATCTCTACTAAAAATACAAAAATTAGCCCTGCATGGTGGCACATGCCTATAATCCCAGCTACTAGAGAGGCTGAGGCATGAGAATTGCTAGAGCCCAGGAGGCAGAGGTTGCAGTGAGCTGAGATTGCACCACTGTTCTCCAGCCTGGGCGATAGAGTGAGACTCTGTCTGAAAAAAAAAAAAAAAAAAAAAAAAAAAGAACCAATGAGTTCAGCAATGTGGCAGGGTACAAGACTGAGATACAAAAATCTATTATATTTCTATACACTAGCAATGAACAATCTGAAAGTGAAATTAAGAAAACAGTTCCACTTATAATGACATCAAAAAGAGTAAGATACCTAGGAACAAAAGAAGTGCAAGATTTGTAGTTGAAAACTACAAAACAATCTTGAAGGAAATTAAAGGTCTAAATAAGTGGGAAAATAGTGGAAAACTCAACATTGTTGATATGATCCCTGAGCTGATCTACAGATTCAACACAATGCCTATCAAAATTCCAGCTATTTTGTAGAAATTAACAAGCTGGTCCTAAAATTCATATGGAAATGCAAGGAACCCAGAATAGCCAAAACATCCTGATTAAAGAAGAAAAGGCCTGGTGCAGTGGTTCATGCCTGTAGTACCAGCATTTTGGGAGGCCAAGGCAGGTGGATTGCATGAGCCCAGGAGTTCAAGACCAGCCTGGGCAGCATGGTGAAACCCCTTCTCTACAAAAATACAAAAATTAGCCAGTTGTGGTGGCATGGGGCTGTAGTCCTAGCTACTCAGAAGGCTGAGGTTGGAGGATCAATTGAGCCCGGGAGGTCAAGGCTGCAGTGAGCCATGTTCACGCCATGTACTCCAGCCTGGGTGACAGAGTGAGACCTTGGCTCAAAAACAGACAAACAAAAAACAAAGTTGGAAGACCCATTCTGCCTGATTTCAAAACTTACTACAAAGCTACAGTAATCAAGACAGTATGGTCAATAGTAGGCAGGTGCTATTAAAAAAATAATAAAAAATAAAACCAGTGTGGTATTGCCATGAGGTTAGACATACAGATAGAATTGAGAGTCCAGAAATAAACCCTCATATTTGTGGTCAGTTGCTATTTTACAAGGGAATAAGACAATTGGATGGAGGACAGAATAGTCTTTTCAACAAATGTTATACACCAAATGGATATCCACATACAAACGAATGAATGTGAACGCCTTCCTTATGCCATACTCAAAGTGGATTGTAGAAACATAGTGAAACCTAATTTCTAGAAGAAAATTAAAAATTAGCCAGGTGTAATGGCACATAGCTGTAGTCTAGCTACTCGGGAGGCTGAGGCTGGAGGATCACTTGAGCTCAGGAGGCCATGGCTGCAGTGAGCCATGATTGTGCCATCGCACTTCAGCCTGGGTGACAGAGTGAGACCGTGTCTTAAAAAATAAGTGGATTGTAGACTTGAATGTGAGACTGAAAACTATACAACTCCCATAAGAAAACAAAGGAGTAAATCTTAGTGCCCTTAGGTTTAGTGATGGTTTCTTGGATATAGCACCAAAAATATGGCAACAAAAGAAATAGCTAAATTGGACATCATCAAAATTGAAAACTTTTTTGCTTCAAAGGACACCATTAAAAGCTGAAAATATGACCGGGCACAGTGGCTCATGCCTGTAATCCCAGCACTCTGGGAGGCCAAGGAGGCCAGATCAACTGAGGTCAGGAGTTTGGGACCAGGCTGGCCAACATGGTGAAACCCCGTCTCTACTAAAAATACAAAAATTAGCCAGGCATGTTGGTGAGCGCCTATAATAATCCCAGCTACTTGGGAGGCTGAGGCAGGAAAATCACTTGAACCTGGGAAGCAGAGGTTGCAGTGAACTGAGATTGTGCCATTGCACTCCAGCATGGGCAACAAGAGTGAAACTCCATCTCAAAAACAAATAACAAAAAAACACCACACACACAAAATGAAAATATAACCCTAGAATGGGAGAAAATATTTGCAAATTATATGTTCAACAAGGAACTGGTATGCAGAATATATACAAATTCTTACAACTCAATAATAAAAAGACAAAATATTTTAAGATGACCAAAGGATTTGAATAGGTATTTCTCTATGGAAGACACACAAATGGCCCTTAAGCACATGAAAAGATATGCAACATCATTAGACATCAGGGAAATGCAAATCAAAACTACAATGAAATGCCACTTCACCTCCACCAGGATCACTGTAAACAAAAAGACATAATAGCAAATGTCCTTTTGGCTTAGGATTGACTTGGCAATGTGGGCTCTTTTTTGGTTCCATATGAACTTTAAAGTAGTTTTTTCCAATTCTGTGAAGAAAGTCATTGGTAGCTTGATGGGGATGGCATTGAATCTATAAATTACCTTGGGCAGTGTGGCCATTTTCATGATATTGATTTTTCCTACCCATGAGCGTGGAATGTTCTTCCATTTGTTTGTATCCTCTTTTATTTCATTGAGCAGTGGTTTGCAGTTCTCCTTGAAGAGGTCCTTCATGTCCCATGTAAGTTGGATTCCTAGGTATTTTATTCTCTTTGAAGCAATTGTGAATGGGAGTTCACTCATGATTTGGTTCTCTGTCTGTCTGTTATTAGCGTATAAGAATGCTTGTGATTTTTGCACATTGATTTTGTATACTGAGACTTTGCTGAAGTTGCCTATCAGCTTAAGGAGATTTTGGGCTAAGACAATGGGGTTTTCTGGATATACAATCATGTCATCTGCAAACAGGGACAATTTGACTTCCTCTTTTCTGAATTGAATACCCTTTATTTCCTTCTCCTGCCTGATTGCCCTGGCCAGAACTTCCAACCCTATGTTGAATAGGAGTGGTGAGAGAGGGCATCCCTGTCTTGTGCCAGTTTTCAAAGGGAATGCTTCCAGTTTTTGCCCATTCAGTATGATATTGGCTGTGGGTTTGTCATAGATAGCAAAGCTGGAGGCATCATGCTACCTGACTTCAAACAATACTACAAGGCTACAGTAACCAAAACAGCATGGTACTGGTACCAAAACAGACATATAGACCACTGGAACAGAACAGAGCCCTCAGAAATAATGCCACATGTCTACAACCATCTGATCTTTGACAAACCTGACAAAAACAAGAAATGGGGAAACGATTCCCTATTTAATAAATGGTGCTGGGAAAACTGGCTAGCCATATGTAGAAAGCTGAAACTGGATCCCTTCCTTACACCTTATACAAAAATTAATTCAAGATGGATTAAAGACTTAAATGTTAGACCTAAAACCATAAAAACCCTAGAAGAAAGCCTAGGCAATACCATTCGGGACATAGGCATGGACAAGGGCTTCATATCTAAAACACCAAAAGCAATGGCAACAAAAGCCAAAATTGACAAATGGGATCTAATTAAACTAAAGAGCTTCTGCACAGCAAAACAAACTACAGGATGGGAGAAAATTTTTGCAACCTACTCATCTGACAAAGGGCTCATATACAGAATCTACAATGAACTCAAACAAATTTACAAGAGAAAAACAAACAACCCCATCAAAAAGTGGGCAAAGGATATGAACAGACACTTCTCAAAAGAAAACATTTATGCAGCCAAAAGACACATGAAAAAATGCCATCATCACTGGCCATCAGAGAAATGCAAATCAAAACCACAATGAGATACCATCTCACACCAGTTAGAATGGCAATCATTAAAAAGTCAGGAAACAACAGGTGCTGGAGAGGATGTGGAGAAATAGGAACACTTTTGTACTGTTGATGGGACTGTAAACTAGTTCAACCATTGTGGAAGTCAGTGTGGCGATTCCTCAGGGATCTAGAACTAGAAATACCATTTGACCCAGCCATCCCATTACTGGGTATATACCCAAAGGATTATAAGTCATGCTGCTATAAAGACACATGCACACGTATATTTATTGCAGCACTATTCACAATAGCAAAGACTTGGAACCAAGCCAAATGTCCAGCAATGATAAGACTGGATTAAGAAAATGTGGCACATATACACCATGGAATACTATGCAGCCATAAAAAATGATGAGTTCATATTCTTTGTAGGGACATGGATGAAGCTGGAAACCATCATTCTCAGCAAACTATTGCAAGGACAAAAAACCAAGCACCACATGTTCTCACTCATAGGTGGGAATTGAACAATGAGAACACATGGACACAGGAAGGGGAACATCACACACTGGGGCCTGTTGTGGGGTGGGGGGAGGGGGGAAGGATAGCATTAGGAGATATACTTACTGTTAAATGATGAGTTAATGGGTGCAGCACACCAACATGGCACATGTATACATATGTAACTAACCTGCACGTTGTGCACATGTACCCTAAAACTTAAAGTATAATTAAAAAAAAAAAGAAGTGTTGTCTGGGATGTGGAAAACTTGGAACCCTCATACATGGCTGGTGGGAACATAAATTGGTGCTGGCACCTTAAAATGTCAAACATAGTTATGACCCAGCAATTCCATACCTACGTATATACCCAAGAGAAATGAAAACATATGTCCATGCAAAAACATACATGGATGTTCACAGCAGCATTATTCATAATATCCCACAAGTGGGATATTATTAGCCATATTTAGTTATAAAATAGCCCAAAGTGGAAATAACCCAAATGTTTATAAATTGATGAACGGATAAATATAAAATGTGTTCTAGGCAAGGTGCGGTGGCTCATGCCTGTAATGCCAAAATTTCGGAGGCTGAAGTGGGAGGATTGCTTGAGGCCAGGAGCTTGAGACCAGCCTGGGCAATATAGGGAGACCCCATATCTACAAAAAATTAAAAAATTAGCCTGGTGTGATGGCATGCACCTGTAGTCCCAGCTACTCAGGAAGCTGCGGTGGGATGATCACTTGAGCCCTGGAGGTGGAGGCTGTAGTAAGCCATGGTTGCACCACTGCACTCCAGCTGTGCGACAGAGTGAGACCCTGTCTCAAAAAAAAAAAAAAGTGTTCTACCTACACCATGGAATATTATGTGGCAATAAAAAGGGAATGAGATACTGATACATGCTACAACATGGATGAACCTTGAAAACATCATACTAAATGAAAGAAGCCAGTCACAAAGACCACATATTTTATAATTCCATTGATAGGAAATGTTTAGGATAGACAAATCTATAGAGTCAGAAAGTAGATTAGTGGTTGCTGGAGCTGGGAAGAGGATGGGAACGAAAAGTGACTGATAATGGGACTGGGTTTCTTTTTGAGGTGGCAAAAATGTTCTACTTAGGTTATGCAAATTGTTCCACAATTCTGTGAATACAATAAAATGCACTGAACTGTATACTTTAATGGGTGACTTATATATGAATTACATCTCAATAAAGCTGTTTTTTGAAAAAAAGGTCACAGAGCCCTTAACAGTTTTGTAGAAGTGAGGGGAGATGGACATGGCGGAAGGCCCTGGACACATATTTATCCCCTTGTGTGGCTACTTGCAGTTCCCGCCAAACTGCACCCATCTCTTTGTCCCCAGAGGTGAAGTCCAGTGGACCTTGGTTTTTCACTTCAAGACCAGTTTTGGGGTCAAGGCTATTTCAACATGGCAGGTAGTAAGAGTTTAATAAATGCTTGGTGAATGAACCTACATTGCATCAATGTACAGGTCACCAAAAGTACTTAAGGCTGGAGCAGTCTCCAGGGCTGGGGAGGGGATCTCAGCAGGTTTTGAAAGGAAGGGACAGAACCTAAGAGCTTCTAAAATGTTCCTTCAGAAGAACCCTGAGTCCAGAGGAGAGTTAACACATCCCTAACATGCAGTAAGAAAAGTCTCACATTTTTTCTTTAAATTCTTGTGCTGTATGCATCCTACTCTATATTTCCAGCTTGTTTTAATTTAAAAATACTGTAAATTGCCATTCAGTAAAACGGATGCTTCAGGGAGTTGTGCTGTTTATTCCTGCATCCTGGAATACCTGTGGGTGTATGCTGCTATGTTGCCTCAGAGGACCTCAATCAACAAATACCCTGAGTGCCCACTGTGTGCTTGGCAGGAGGGGTGCTGTTGCCAACACAGGATCTTCCCTCATAGGACTTTCAGTTGAGAAATGAGTGCATAGCCCCGAGGAGCAAAAAGAGCTCGGTGGAGAGGACAGAATTATGGGGGGGCAGAGTTTGGAAGCTCGTAAGAACATTGCCTTAAATGAAGACCAACATATATGCTCAGTGTTTTACTAGCAAAAAGTTGAAAACTGCCTAAATGTCTAATAGTGGAATGGCTAAACAAATTATGGTGTTACCATGTAGTACGATATTCTGTAGCTATTTAATAATACAAAACAATAAAGGAAAAGGCTTATGATGAAATTTTATGTAAAAAATCTTCAAAAAAACTATGCATAGCATGGCCTCAACATGTAAAACATACTCAGAAAAAATACCAGCATAGAATGCCCCAAATGCTAGTTGACTTTGGAGGGTAGAATTATGGGGGGATTTCTCTCTCTCCCCAAATTTTCTACAGTAAGTCTGGGTTATGTTATTAATAAACATCACATCTTTGATGCAGGAAGGCTAATGTGCAGCTGCATGTGGGGGCAGGGCTAGAGATGAACTTGGAGTAGGGGCTACAGAGTGGACCCGGGAGGAAGGGCTAGAGATGGAGATGTGGGTGCCGTCTTCCTACAGGAGAGGTCAAAACAAACCCTGAGTGGGCACTGAGGGAGCCCATGAAGAAACTACAGAGGGCTGAGGAGTCTTGGAGGGCAGGAGGAGGAATTGGAGTCAGGGATGTGGAGAGTTCAAGTGTCATGGAGCTGGGCAGAGATTCTAGGCAGAGTAATATCTAGAAATCCTTGGAAGTCAAGGAGAGAGGTTGAAAGAGGAGCCCTCAGTGTAAAACCTTGTCTCCTTCCTAGAGTGGTGAGGTTAGATTTAAATGAGATATAGGAGAGTGATTAGCTATACAAGCTCTGGAGTTGGGTAGACCAGTTCAAACCTCAGTTTCAGAACTTACAGCTAAGTGACCTTGGAAAAACTTTCTAACCTCTCTGAACCTGTTTCCCCATCTGTTAAATGGAAACAATAAAAACCATTAGGTTATTTTTTGGATTAGATGAATAATGCATGGAAAGTGCTTTGCATAGTGCTTGGCACATATATGTACTACTATTTTTTTTAAGAGATAGAACCTTACTTAGTCACCCATAGTTCATGTAACCTCAAACTCCTGGACTCAAGTGATCCTCTGTCACTTCAGCCTCCACCATGCCTAATTAAAAAAAAAAAAAAATTTCTAAAGATAGGGTCTTGCTATGCTACCCAGGCTGACTGTGTACTAATTGGATGATGTCTATTATTATTGGTTTACTACAGTTGTTACTATTATGCAAAATATCTTTGATCGATAAAGAGCTTCTCCTGGTCCTTTGGGCATGGCTTTCTGAGGGGAAGACAACCTCTGGGATGCTCACCCTGCCCTCTTCCCCTCTCATCCCCATCTGTCCCCTCTGCCACCATGAGGAACATTTTCAAGAGGAACCAAGAGCCTATTGTGGCTCCTGCCACCACCACCGTCACGATGCCCATTGGACCCGTGGACAACTCCACCGAGAGTGGGAGTGCTGGGGAGAGCCAGGAGGACATGTTTGCCAAACTGAAGGAGAAGTTCTTCAATGAGATTAACAAGATTCCCTGTGAGTGTCCCTGGTGGCTGAGAGGGTGGGGCAAGGCTACAGTCTGGGAGAGGTGAAGAAGGGTGGGGATACCACTGGGATGCGATTGGCTGGGCTCTTTCCTAACGCTTAGATTTTTGGAGATCCCCTGCAGGAATCGGGGAGGGGAAAGTAAGGTCTGCCATTAATGTGGCAAACAAGGGGATTTATGTGCATCAACTTCTAAGGGAAAGAAAAATTCTCATAACTTAAAAAACTTTCTAAAGATGAAACCAAAAGGCGATGAAAAATTATGAAACAGAAGTCACTATTCAAGTTTGCCAATAATACTTTGAAATTTATTTTGGAAGATAGAAAATAAAAGCCCTCTCTGCTTTTGAATTTCTGGCAGAGGCTGTATAGGAGACACCAGAGATGCAGATTAAGGGGAACCAGCCACACTGGTGGGAGATGGTGCTTCAGAACCACAGAGAGCAGCCCAGGACCCAACTCCAGTTGGGTTTTGCAAAGCCCGGCAGCAGTCTAGGTCTAGACTCAATCTTAAGTCCACTCCATGGACCCACAGCTGAAGCGGCAAATGGAAACCACCCAGAACCTTGTGGACTCCTACAAGGCCATTGTCAACAAGACTGTGTGGGACCTCATAGTTGGTTTCATGCCCAAGACCGTCATGCACGTCATGATCAACAACGTGCATGCACCACCTCATAGGGGCAGGGGGCTCCTGTGGCACTGGGGATGCAGGTGGCCATGTTGGCCTGGGGGAGATGCCGACCAGCCCTATGGGACCAGGTTCAGGGAGGGAGGCACAGTCCAGACCAGAGCTGTCTCATAGAACTATAATGTGGGACTAGGGACAGTGGTCCATGCCTGTAATCCCAGCACTTTGGGAGGCCAAGGTAGGAGGATAGCTTGAGCCCAGGAGTTCGAGACCAGCTTGGGCAACATAGTGAGACCTGGTCTCTACACAAAAATTTTAAAAATAGCTAGGCTTAGTGATGGCACATGCCTATAGTCTTAGCTATTCGACAGGCTGACATTGGAGGATCACTTTGAGCCCAAGAGGTTCAGGCTACAGTGAGTGGTGATCTTGCTCACTGTACTCCAGCCCAGCAACAGAGCGAGATCCTATCTCCAAAAAACATTTTTAAGAAACTGAGTAGACAGGTGTCCTGGTGGCATGATAGGTCCTGGGTCCCCTCCCAGATGTGTGACCTTGGACAGGTGACTTTTCCTCTGGACCTCAGCGTCCCTATCTGAGTGAGAAAAGGGCGGTGGGGTGGCAGATCTTTGAGTCTAAGCGGTGTAGAAGCCGCGTGTGCAAAGCCATACTCAGGGCTCCAAGTCCAGCACACTGTCCCAGCACAGGCATCAGGCCAGCACATGCATCAGGTCCCAACCTCCTTCCCTCTTTGCCCCCTCTCAGACCAAGGAGCTCATATTATCAGAGTTGCTGTCCAACCTGTACTTGCATGGGAACCAGAACACGCTGATGGAGGAGTTGGCAGAGCAGGCACAGTGGCGAGATGAGATGCTGCGCATGTACCACGTGCTGAAGGAGGTGCTCAGCATCATCGGTGACATCAACACAACCACCATCAGCACGCACATGGGGGCCCGTGGACAACTCCTGGCTGCAGGTGCAGAGCGTCCTTGCCAGACGCAGGTACCAGGGCTGGCCCCTATGGCCCCAAGTCTCCCCAGCCCCCATGGCTGAGCCTGGGGGCTCTTGGAACAGGCTCCGTGCCCAAGCTGGCAGATGTGGGTGGTCTCTGGAGCCATCAGGGAGCTCGTGGTGTAAGGGCTGAGAGCTTGGAGGGGGTTGTGTGTGGGGCTGTACTCTGAGGTGGCCAGAGGCCCAGGAATGTCATCCTGGGCACGCCATGCCTTTTGTGCTGTCTGAGCCATGCTGCCAGGGTGGGGCATCCAGCTCCCAGCCTGGATGCCTTGGAGTGCTGAGGGCCAAATCCACTGCAGAGCAGGGGTGATAGGGTCCCACCTCCTCTATCTGTTGGCAAAACAGTGGTGATCTAGGATAAAACCTCGAGAGTCCCATACACATGGTCAACCCAAAACACACCTCACAGGTCAGGTAGGGGCACACAGCCCCCTTCCCTCCCTCCCAGGTACCATCACAGCTGCTAGCATGTGACTGAAGGCAGGGTCCCTGGGCCCCGCTGAAGCACTACCACCAGCCAGCGGGCTCACGCACCTTGGCTTGTTGCTCCTAGAGATTGGCCCTCCTATTCAGCCGAGGGGAGCCCAGTGCCTGCTGGCCCAGCTGAGCTCTGCCCAGCAAGCCCACCCACCTCCCTTGCCATGGTCTCCGTCTCCTTTCCCTGGGAGGAAGGACCCAGCCTCACCTATGGGACCTGCAATCTCCAACAAGCTGAGGCTCCCCTCTTAGACTTATAAGTTTATAGCCAGTGGCATCCGGCTGCCTGCCCACCCTGCCTCCCCCAGGGTCCCTTCAGAGGGTCCTGAGCTTCCTGACCACCCAGAGGGGGCTCCGGCGATCACTCCAACCATCCATCCCATTTAGCTTCATCATCCTTGTTCGAGCAATTTTCCTTCTGTCAGGCCTGGTGGCTGTTATGTTGGGCTCCCCAAGGTGAGAGGTGGCCCTAGACCAGTTGGTTGGAAGACAGGTTGGAAGACGACTTGGAAGACAAGTTGGTTGGTGACCAGAGAAGAGGGAAGCCCAAAGGGGCCGAGCGTTGGTCTGACCTGTGGGTACACTGCCTGGGTGCAATGGAAGAGGCCAGCATGTGTGGGGTGGGGAGGGCCGCCACAGTCCCCAGGCACTACCTGTGAAGCTCCGGCTCCTCCCTCCATCTTCCTCCCCTTTCCCTTCCAGCCCCTCTTTTCCAGGAACCTTGCCACACCCGCACCTGCGCCCTCCCCTCCCTGGCCCTCCCACAGCTGCTGTGGCACACCTGTGCTCTGCACTGGCCTCACCAGCTCTCTGCTCCCTTTTCTCTCTCCTCTTTTCTCTCTGCTTTCTCTCCAACTGCCAGCCGATCAGGTCACGCAAGTCCATCCCATCCTGAGAGCCCCACGCCCCCCTTCGACCTCTAAACAGATCCCTTCTCTTCTCGGAGGCCTCCCTTTCCAAGCCTGCCTGGGCGGCTGTTCTGTGACTTGGCAGTGGCTCCCCCAGCCCCAAAGCCAGCCCCCTTCATCTGTGACTTAGTCTGTTGTAGTGGTGAGCTGACACATCCAGGTGTGACTGTTGTGAAACTTGTGCCCCCCTCTGTGGTATGCCCTCGCATTGTTCTATAAATATCTATAAATACCCATACACACACACACACACACACACACACACACACACCCCTACACCTACATGTGGCCAACGGCCTCGCCTCTAGTGCTGGGAATCAGTCACCGTGCTGTCCTCTTGGAGTCTTGTGGCCCAACAAGAGAAAGCTGTCCCGACATTGCCCCTCCAAAGTGCAAGACCTCCGGTGAGTCTCCCTGTCACGCCTGGCCTATGGAGAGTCAGCCCCCGCCATCCCTCCCGCCCCCCCACCAAGCATGGGAGTGCTGTGCAGGCAGCTGTGTGGCCTGACAGTCTCTACCAGTCCTGCTGTCCCTTGGCTGAGAATCAAACCCATTTCTGGATGACGGGGAAGTGTGTCCTCTGCTGGCTGTGTTCTCTGTGGAGCTCAGGGGAGGGGAAAGGCCAAGCCATTTCTAGGGTGCTGTTTGGAGGGGTGAAAAGGCCATACCCTTTCCAAGGGACACTTTTCCTGGAAAGCCCCTGGAACTTAGCTGGCTCTTGTCCTGTGAAGCCGGCTCTGGCCACCAGGGGGCAGGGCCACGAACTCAGCCTGAAGGGAGCCTGCCGGGCAGCCGGCACTCTGGAGGGACAGAGAGAACAGGCCACCAGGTGCAGACAGGGGAGGGAGGCAAGGTGACGGAAGGGAAGACGCCTGGGGTGGGTGGAAGTCAGTGCCCTTAGGTGCTGGTACCTGTCTTCCTGGCCACCGCTACAACAGGCTTCTGAGCCTGTTGGCTGTCAGGGCTGGACTGCGCCCCATAGGCACCATGGCAGTCCCCGTGGAATCCCCCAGGCGCCACTAGGCAGCATACAGGTAACACGCCTGGAAGGTCCCTAACAGCCTAGCTGGACATACTCAAGACACTCTGGGGCTCCTCGTTTGGTGGCACAAACTCCAGGACCCAGTGAGGGAAACGGGAACACACCAGGCCGAGCAGTATGGCTAAATCCATTTATTCCAAAATAAAAAGCAAAATAAACAGGAGTCGCATCACCAGGGAGCCACGACCCCATCCCCGCCTCCTTCCTCTGTCCTATGCTAGCAATAAATAAGTTTCCCAGCCACAAATAATTATTACAACCTCCTCCCCATGTGCCGGCTCCAACCTCAGCTAGGTATGACACAGGGGTGGCCCTACCCTCTGGAATATACAAAACCTTACACAGACACAATGTGTACACCGGGGAACGGGGGCCACCCCAGCAGCCCGTGCCCTCGCCTGGTCCACAGTTAGCCCCACTGTCCTACCTCTCTGAATAAGAAGGGAGCCCCCCTGAGGGAAAAGTTGCTATGGTGAGAGTAAGGGGGACATCAGGCCTCCTCCAAACAAACCAACTCCACCAGCCTCTGGCTCTTAAATAACAATCATCATCATCCAGAAATTTAGGGACTCAGCCCTGGTCAAGGTGGCAAAGGGTCTGTTTGTCTTTCCCCATTAGACAGAGGTCTTGTCCTGCTACCCTAATTGTAAAGGGGTGCCTGGGAAGGGGTGGTAGGGACATGGTGGCGGTGGAGACTCCGGCCCCACTTCTCCAGGCTTTGCTGACAGGGGCCTGCTTTTAATTTTTATTTTTATTCCATGACTTTTTAAAAAAGAATCCCGTAACTTCTTTTTCATAACTTTTTTGGTAACTTTTCATAATACTGTTTTCTACTTTGTTCCCACAAGTTTTTTTGCCACAACGTTTTTACATTTTTTATCCCATAACTTTTTCACCCCATAACTTTTTTTAATCCCATAATTTTTAAATCTTGTGTTCTTTTAAGAAACACTTGCATAGTTATATCACAACTTTGTAAAAATGAAACACATTATCTCGTGCCAAGCATGCCCAGCATTTGCACAGTATCAATACCTTTAATACTATAGTTTTCAAGAAACACAAAATAAAATTTTAAGGCAAAAACAACACATTGAAACAATTTAATAATTTATTACATTACAGTGGCATCACACCAGCAGTCAATAAGGCCACTCTAGGGAAAAATCTTTCAGTATTTCCATGACACATTCTGTTTACAATAATTCATAAACTGGTAAAATTCATTCTAAGAAAACTTGGCAAATAAAACTTTGGACTGGAATTGGCATTTCTTTCTCTGCTTTTCGTTCCCACCATTTCTTTCTTTTATACTACAGTATTCATATTTTAAAATGTTTTAAATTATTTCAGAACATTAAGATAGCAGTTACATTTTTTAATAGTTATATTATTTTAAAATGACTAAGATAAAGTTTTAGAGAAACTATATTATGGATAGGGCTGATTTACATTTTCAAATTTTCTAAAATCGCTTTGGTTTTAGAGCTGATTTTTTTTTTCATTTCTGGAAAATTATCAGGTTGAATCAAATACTTTTAAAATGATTATTATATATTGCCATCTTTAAATAGGTGTTTTGATTCTTCCTACAGACATTAAAATGTATTCAGTGGAACTCACAGTTTAAAATTCTATGTTTCTGATGAACTCTAACATTCCAATGTTGCCTTCTAAGCAAACTGAAAGCTGCCTTATACTGAATGAGGAAGAGCACAAATACTCGGCTGAATGAGGTATCGCAAAAGACTGCATGCACTTTGGAGAAAGACTTAAGTTATTGTCATACAATTTCCATTCTTTTTAGCGTTTTCTTAAGTATATGACAAATGCCTACACAAAGAGTGGTATTTCAGTCAATATAGTAAATTTATTTTCCAGACTGACCTTCAGCTTAAATATGCCAGTGTGTGATTTAATCCATAGGCACCTCATGAACACATTATTGTCAGATTGGTTACAGATGCTAAACGCTATCCGAAGGTCATTCCTAGTCACTGATATTTATCAGGGTAAAAGTGAAGTGATTTCAACGATAAAAGTACCTTTGCAATAATTTATCAATGTATTAGATAAACCCAGTTTCAGAATGATAAAAGAAAAAACGTTAGACCAAATAATGTGGCTGATTAACAGTGGTCCGATTTCTAGCCCGAGGGTTTAAAATGCTCTTAAAGTAACTGTCTTTAAACTGAACTCAAAGAATGCAAAAGCGGCAAGTTCAGAAAATAAAAGGCGAGAACAGGACTTTAAGTGCATTTTAAACCCACGGGCTACAAATCGTACCACTGTTAATTAGCCGCATTATTTGGTCTAAGATTTTTTCTTTATCATTCTGAAACTGGGTTTATCTAATACATTGATACATTCATAAAATTTGGAAGAGTCAGTGGAAGTCACAAGGACCGAATATTTGCACTCTTTCAGTGAATGCCAGCAAATCTGTTATTCCATCGGTAAAATCGTATTGTTGCTCTCCTGTTAATGTCATATTTATAGAAGTATCATGAGGATGCCAAATGCTAAAAATGGAGATGATCTAGTAACTAGAAATCCCCACCGCAGGGAGCACACACACCTATCTCCCTGCATCCTAACAATGTGATGTGTTTTGGAACACAGACATTAGAACTTCATGAAGTTTTAACTGTTGAGTCTTTCCCAAGCATCATCAAGTTACGATTTAGGCAATATATAACTGAAATGTATTCATTCATCATGCATAGGCACAATCACATAAATATCGCACAAAATATGTCCCGAACAGAAACCCAGAGGTACAAAAACATATTTCACTTTGTAAAGAAGTCTGTGAGAAAATATAACTCTGTGATTGTATAGACACGTTTCCTGATAATACATTGACATTCACGAACAGTAGATTGCACTGCAGTTTGTACACATTTTAAGTTTCATAAACTTCTCCTTGATTTTCAAAGAGAGTACAATACCATCTACTAAAACTCCTTTTTGTTTCAACTAAGTATCTCACATATATTAGTTTATAATAATGTTTCTATTATTTTTTAAAGTGTTTTCCATTCAAGGAAAAAGAAGTAAATTCCTATGTCAGAGTAACCAAGGTGGTTGAAGAATAGGTATTAGCCAAAGAGGTCTAGATGGTAAAATCAATCTTCAAGCCTCAAAGAATCTCCGTGAACAGAGAGGAATGCCAGGTGTCACACAGCTTTCCTTCACTCTAATTCATTCTTGACTAGAGCCTGTATGCCTGTTCCAGGGACGTTTGAACTCATAAAGGATTTCTTATGATCTTCACTAAATACATTAAGAAGAATGCCAACCAGTGCCCTTTTGTGTACTGGGACATGTAGTCATGTGATTAAAACAGGTAACATGAACTCTGACTTTAAAATGTATTGTAGATACAAATGCTCTAAGCTAGGAAAGGTTTTCCACATCCACAGTCAACGATGGGAACCTTTCATTCCTCAGAAATAAGCCCTTTTTAGGTCATCGAAAAAGAGTACAACTGCTGCAGCTCATGATGCAATATCTTCATGAGCCCAGAGCACATACAAATCCTAAGGGAACCACCATAATACACCGCTAATTCCTGGCACCGGAACAGATGAAACACACTCTATCCTGCACATACCTGCCAGAGGAGGCCACTTTCCTCTTCTGTGAGATTTAAAAAGCTCCCCCAAAAGGTTATCACTCCCATCACCAATACACAGAAAATGGAGGAAAGGCTGTTTCCAGTTCTTGGCCTTTAAACAACTCTAAATGTCAGTACTCATAGTGGCGTATTACAAAGTAATAAACAGTGCACACTTGGGGGCAAACTACATATTGAGCTAAGGAAGAGCTCACTGTGATTAAGATTAGATCAAACAACAGCAGAACATAGGCAAATTTTGTCTGAATGCTGTAGTGAATATACATGCTGCAATAACATTAAAAAAGCATGGCAGCCTATTCCAAACCAAAGAGAACAGTTTTGGGCAAAGAGTGGGTCTTTGTGTGTTTGAACTCCCACCACGTAAGGGCAAACTCGATATGCACGCTAATGACCTACAATTATGAAATTAAAAAAGAAAAATGCTAAAGGATGCCAGAGTGAACATCAGTGAGAGCCACAGACACCCACTCTCTTTTAACTTTTTACAAATAAACTTAAACTATAAATTAGAAACACAAATAATCATGAGTGAGTCTAACATTCAAAGGAAGTAAATGAATTGTGTAGGAGATTAACCCCATAACTTGGTTTCTTATTTAAAAATTTCTTGAGCAGCTCTTTGAGGATGGTGATGTTTATCTCCTTCTTCTTGGCAGCCAAGCCCAGCACAAGAATGGCACACAGCAGTTGCTGCCCAAGCCTGGGTGCTCCTGGTGGTCCTGCACGATCGGCTGTGCAGTAGGCTTGTCAAGGAGAGGATCCTCCCTGGCCTCTCCTTGGGCAGAGGAGGTGAGGCTCACCTCACGAAGATCTTTGGAGAGAGGGAGGCAGGGATCTGAGCACAGTGGGAGCCCCCTCTTCCTGCCTGCCCACCCCACCTGAGGGCTCTACTCACCACCATGCTTGTCTGCAGCCCCAAGCTCCTGGGGAGCTGGGGCTCCTGGACCGGGCTCATCAGCAGGGTTGTGGGCAGCGGCCAGGAATTTTCTGTGCCCATTGTTGTAGTTGCTGTAAGCCGCAATACCATCTGCTGCAGCTCCAGCAGCTTCACCTGGAGGGAGGGGTGCTCAGCTGCCATGCCGCTGCTTGCGCCCACCCTCACACCCACCCCCACCCCCACCCCCACAGAGATGTTGCACACCCTACCTTCATCTCCTCCCTGAGCTCCAGCCTGATGGTGTCCTCCTCCCAGTGCCGCATCTTTGGCACAGCCCCCTGGTTCTGATAAAAGGTGATGGGTTTTCCTGCGGGAGGACAGGGCTCAGACGCTGGGGCCCCTCCGACGGCCCTGTAGCTCCCCCTGCCGTGCCCTGGCCTCCCACTCACTGATGGCGTCTGTCTCGCCAGTGGTGGATGAAGCAGAGTTCTTTTTTCACCAGCTCACTCAGGTCTGCCTTCTCCTTCAGGTGGTCCATAAAGCTGCTCTGGAGCCAAAATATTGCAGTCACATCTCGGCAGCGACCTGCCCTCAGGTGGCATTTTCAAGTCATGGAGAAGGTGGAGGTGAGTCCTGGCATGGGCCAGCTTCTCCGTGACTTCCTGCAGGGCCCAGTGGGTCTCCCTACTCACAGACTCGCCCCCAGGCCCTGGGGCTCCAGGGCCTCTGGCTGCCTCTGGCTCCTTCTGGGCTGAGGCCACCGGGTGAGCCAGGCGCTGGCAGCACACCCTCTGCTCTTTCACCTGCTCTTGTAACTGTGCCTGCTTCTCCTGGGCACTAGCTCCAGCGGACTTGAAAAATGCCACCTGAGGGCAAGATGTGAGCATTCTTCTAGGGGCATACACAGAAGAAATGGGGCAGAGAGGTGGAGCGCAGCCCCTTCCCTTGGGGCCTCAGAGAGTGCACCTGTTGGCCACAGGTGAAATGGTGTCTGACCACTGGCTCTCGGAAGGGGTGAGGGTCCAGAGAAATCAGAAGGCAGGGAAACGAAGAGCATAAAGGGGTCTTGGAGGGACCACAGAGAAAGGTGGCAAAATGGGTGCAGGGGGAGTCAGGCTCACCATGGCCTCCCTGCTCTCCAGGTCCTCTGGGACACTCGGCATGGGCTGAGGTGCCTCCTCCCCCTCACTGTCCAGATGTTCTCCTCCGTGTCCTGTGGGGGGTGGCCAGAGGGGTCTTCAGACAACCCAACAAGGGAGGTACTGTGGGCCCACCTCTACCTCCACCCTCACTGTGTAACCCTGAGCCAGCCCCTCCCCAGAGAGGAATGAGCTGTTGTTCTTTATTTTTACTTTTAAGAATCAAGATCTTGCTATTCCGCCCAGGCACACTCCCACTACTGGTCGATGTGGGAGTTCTGACCTGCTCCCTTTCTGACCTTGGCCAGTTCAGCCATCCTTAGGCAACTTGGTGACCCCCCGCTCACAGGAGGTCACCACACTGATGCCGAACTTAGTGCAGGCACCCGGTCGGCATAATGACCAGCTGTTCTAAAGGTCTCTTCCAACTCCTCAATCCTATGCTGCTAGCAGTCCCCCCTTCCTCCTGGGGCTCTCTCCTCTTCCTCTGAGCAGTCTCCCGTACCTTCCCCAGGGAGAGCCATGAGGCTCAGCTGGGCCGTTAGCTGCTGGTTCTGCTGGCTGGCAGCTTCCAGGTGCTCCTGAGGGGCCAGGACAGAGTGAGAAGGGGTGGAGTTTGCCAGGTCATCCCCCTCACAGCCCCATCCTCGGCAGCTCCCTCCCCTGGGTCTCCTGCAACTTTTGGCAGGCCATCTCAGCCACCGCTTTGCCCCAAGCTTCCTGCTGCTGCAGCTGGTTCATTAGCTGGGTCTGTTGCAGTCACTGCCTGTACAGCGCCTCCTTCTAACAGGTCAGCTGCTGATAGGTGGCCACGTACTGCTGCAGGTGACCCAGGTAATGGTCTGGCTGCTGCTGCAGACTCTGAGCCTCTTGGCTCTTCAGCTCCACCTGCAGGAAGACCCTGGGTGTGAGGGCACGTGGTGGCTGGTTTCCAGATTCTGGGCCCATTAATAGGGTAGCGAGGGCACTGTGGGGCTCTGTCAGCTGCCCAGGCCCCTGTCCCCTTACTCCAGGCCTAAGTGACTGCCTCCCTTTCCTAGAACCCCATGCCTCCTTCCCCAGCCTCAAATCTCATACCCTCTTCTCATTTAATCCTCAGCACCTCTGTAAGGAAAATGCTAACTTCCCTTTGAAGTTAAAGAAACAGAGACTTAGAGATGCAAAGTACTTGAATGGTGACCAGTGCAACCGAGGCTGGAATCCAGTTTTAATCTAAGGAGTCTTTTTGTTTTGTTTTCAGACAAGAGTGTCACTCTGTGGCCCAGGCTGGAGTGCAGTGGTGCAATCTCAGCTCACTGCAACCTCCACCTCCTGGGTTGAAGCAATTCTCGTGCCTCAGCCTCCCGAGTAGGTGGAATTACAGGCATGCGCCACAATGTCCTGCTAATTTTTTTTTTTTTTTTTTGTAATTTTAGTAGAGATGAGGTTTTACCACATTGGCCAGGCTGATCCCAAACTCCCGACCTCAAGTGATTCTCCTGCCTCAGCCTCCCAAAGTGCTGGGATTATAGGCATGAGCCACTGCACCTGGCATAAGGAGCCTGTTATACCACTGTCTCTTCCCCTGTGATTGGGGGCTCCATGCCTCTAGCTAGGATGATGATGTCCAGACCTGAGAGGATCCCAGGGCTACCCACCTTTAAAAGTCAGAGGCAGGAAGCAAGAAACAGGACTGCCCTGGGGGGTGCTGTGGTCACCAGCCCCCAGGCTGGAAGCTGCCTCTGGCCTCGTACCTCCCCTCCCCAGAGTCTGCTGCCCGCCTCCCAGCCCTTCTTGGATGGGGTGGAGGTTTCCGTCTCCTTCACCTCGCCAAGCTTCTCCTGTAGCTCCTTTACTTGCTGCTCCAACTGCAGTGCGTTCTTGTTCTCATTGTTCTGGACAGAGAGAAGCAATCAGCAGCCACCCACTGCAGCTGGAGACCCCAGAACTTGGTGTCTGCCTCCCATGGCACTGGGAAGGCTGGAGGCAGGTTAGAAAAATCACTCCCTCTCTCCCACAGCCACCTGGCTCACAGGTGCCTTTAGAAGTAACATTTCATGTGAGGGCTACACTGCCCCATTTTAGAGGTGGGGAAACAAAGGCCCGGAGGGCTAGGGAGGAGGGCAAGCTCCCCAGTTTGGGCAACGCACCGGCTCCTCGAAGACGCTCTGTGGCTTGGCCAGCTGCTGAAGGCTCTTGTGCTGCTCCTGAATCCTCTCCTCCTGCTTCCGAAGCCTCTCTTCCTGCTCCTGAATCCTCTCTTCTTGTCGCTGGTTCAGGAGACTTATGCGCTGATTCTTTTTGACCTGGGCCTGGAGCTCTCCTGCCACTCTCTCTAGTTCCTTCCTCAGGTGCTGCAGCTCCACCTCAGAGGGCACTGCTGGGGGCTCCGGGGGCAAGGGTTCAGCTGACAAAGGAAGCAGATAATAAGGGCCTCTGGATTCTCGGAAAAGAAAAACCCTCCTCTTGGCGCACAGCTCCTCTCAGGCTCCTCAAACTTGGCCTCACTGCTAATGATTCCTCGCACCCAGATGGTAGCCAGTCTTCCAAAGCACTTTCAGAGAAAGAGCACTGCGGGTGGCTGACAACGGGCCCTCTTTCCTGATGGGGACACTGAGACACTGAGACTCATTGAGATGACAAGACTCGCCGTCTCCTGGCACAGATCTCTTTCCCTCTGCCTCAAAGCCCTTCCATCCACCCACCTCCCTGGGGCACTCTAAGCCACCCTCACAGCCCTCTGATGCCAGTCCTGCTCCTAGGTCATGCCAGCCCCATCTTACCCATCTGGTTTTTGAGTTTGGACAAGCTCCTCTCCAGCTCCTCTACCCGACGCATATCTTGCTGCTTCTCTTTCTTTAATGTGCAAATCTGCCCAAAGCACAAGGGGAAAGGGCCTTGGAGAGAGGGGCTGGTGGCTGGACAGGCTGCCCTCTCCCTCTCTGCCCCCACCTCCACAAAGCCCAGACCCATGACCACCTCTGGCTCTACTATTCCCATTTTACAGATGACCAGAAAGATCCAGTGACCTATCTAATGTGGGGGGGCTGAAGGGTCAGATCTCACCTCCTGCGACATTTTTCTCATCCTCTGCTGCCACCGGGCCCTCTCTCCTTTTAGATGTTCAGAATACTCATCTCTTTCTAATTGGACTTGTTGAAATGACTCCTTCAACTGCAAGAATGGGCACAGAACTTAGGAAGGGCTGTCACTGGTCCTCACCTGCTCCTGGCCACCTGGGGTCATCTTCCTTCCACATAACTCCCTCAGAAAACCTCACCTGTGTCAGCTGCACTTTCAGTAGTGTCTCCTCCCGCATGGACTGCTCTAACTTCCACTCCGTACGTGCTTTGCTGCGGCTGGACAACTGGATGGTGAAGAGTGAGAAGTTTCAATCTGGAGAGCCTGGGCATTTCCACACAGTGCCCCTTAAAAGGGCTAGGGCTAGGCCCAATATACAACTCGGTCAGTAAAGATCAAGGCATTTCCAAGCCCGTGGTCTGGTTTTTAAAAGAACTCAGTAAAGTTGGAACGGACAGGGAATGAGATTGAATTTATAGCTGGCTAACAGAGGCCCAGAGAGATCAGATAATATTGCTATTGTTATTACTGTTATTATTACCACTGTTTGAACCTTTGTGGAATGCTTCACCAGGTACCGTGCTAACAATCCCATTTAATCCTCGCAACCACCATAGGAGACAGTTACTATGATTCCCTCTATTGTGGAGATGAAAAAACATGGAGTATTTGAGGTTAAGTGCTTGCCTAAGTTCACTTAGGCAGAGCTGGGATATAAACACCCAGGTCTATCCAATTCTCTAAGCCCGTTTTTCTTGCTGGGGATGGGGGCACAGATAGGAAGGGGAAAATTAATCTTTTGTTCACTTTTTGAAAGGATGATACATTTGCATAGTCCAAAACTCAGAAGGTACAGAAGGGAAGTATCTCCCGGCCATCTTGTTGCTCTCTCCTGACTTTTTTATGAACCCTTGCAGACATGTTTTATGTATATTATCACAGTATGCACACACACACACACACACACACACACACACACACACACGCACACACGTTTCCTCTTTCTACAGAAATGGTAACATACTAAAGGTACTCTTCTGTACCTTCACAGTACAAGTACCCAATACCCCACCTAGGACTAGGACTTGCCCAAGACCACAGCCAGGTAAGGGCGGGGCAGGCACTTGGCCTCCAAGCTCTGCGTCCAGTGCTCACTCCACACAGTGACCCCCAACTCACCCACAGCAGCTGACTCAGCCCCAGGCTGCCACTAAAAACCATACAAAAAAGTAGCAAGAAATGGCCATGCTGCCTTCTGGGCAGGACACTCCATCCTGCAGAAGGGACCTTTAGGCTCACTCCTCCATCTGCAAAGCCAGGCTCCCAGGGGATGGGGCAGGTGGTTGGACTCACCTGGTTTGCCTTCTTCTTCTGTGTGGCCATGACATTAGAGAGAACACTCTCTAACTCTCCTTTACGCTGCAATGAATGTTGCAGGCGGACAGCCAGATCCTTGGACTTTTCTGTAATGAGAGAGTTGAGATGGGGCCCAAAGGACTCCCCCTGAAGACCTGTCAAAGTGCCAGGTTGAAGGATGACAGGGTGCCCAGATTCCCACCTTCAAAGTATCTGAGAGAACGTTTCATGTGGTACAGGTCCGTATTTAGTTCCTCTTTCTGTATGTTCAATGTCTGGATTTGAACCTTTGGGAGAAAAGCCAAGCAAGTGCTGAAAGAGAAGGAAAGAAACCTTCTCCGGAGGACAGGAGGAAACTGCACACCCTCCACTCACCTCTAGCACCCTTTTGGCTTTCTGTTTCTTGTTGTTTGCTTTCTTTTCCTGTAGGAAGAGGAAGACAGAGCTCTTACCAGGGGGAGGCAGAGATGGCACAGCAAGAGACATGCCCCCAGAATGCCACCAATGCCCCAGGACAGGCCCACCCATGGGACCAGGTTATCAGGGGCCCTGTGGGGATGGGGTGGAATCTGAAGGGTGAGCCTTCATCCCCAGGCTGGGAGTGGGTGAGACGAGACTGGGGCCTGTATGTCTGAGTGCCCCCCAAACCCAGCAGTCATGTTGCGAGGAAACGAAATCACGTTACTTCTTCCAGCTGATGTTCCACTTGTTTCTTCTGTTGTTTCTGTGGGGAGAGTCAAATAAGGTGGTGGAGGGTGGCCCCCTCAACTCTATTCCCCAGACCAGGAAGCGGTAGGCAGGGGCCAGGAATGGATTTTAAAGGCAAAGTTCTCAGACATAATGGGAACACGAACCGGTAAACTCTCCTCAAGCTCCCAAGGACAGAGGATTTGGGTCTTTGTTGGCTTTTGCCCACAGCCACAGAACTCAAAGTCTGAATCTGGAATCTCTTGAGAGGACAGCAATATAAACCTCTAGAGATGGAGTTTCAGAAAGGCCCCTCCTTCTGGCAGCTTGTGATTTAGAGAAGTGGGTTCATTCAATAAACATTTACTGAGCATGTATGGGCCAGGTACGGTTCTTTACAGCAGATATAGGATGGAAAAGGACAGACAGGAGCCCTTAGCCCTGAGGTTTCCGTTCTAGGGGGCCTTTAAATCTCAGACTCGAGAGCTAACAGAGACCTTTGATACTCACTACCTCCTCTGGAAACACGAGCCCAAAAAGGAGAGGTGGCTTGTCCAGAATCAAAGAGCAAATTAGGGACTGAGTCATGGCAGAAATACGGGGCCCTTGACAACCAGTCAGGCTAGCACTTCCCCAAGAGGCAACAACCCCAGGGCGTGTGTAGCAAGGACTCGAGCAGGGGTGTCTGGAGAGGAGAGAGTCGGCAAAGAGGGCAGCAAAAGAAGAGCCATGCTGCATGCTCTGGGGTCCCTCCAGGTGAGGCCTGGGCACCCAAGCTCCCTATTTGTCCCAGGCACCAGGGACCCCCAGCCCCTTTCTTCAGGGCCCCAAGGGGAAACTGGAGCCCAGGATTGGCAGCGTGGAATCAGGGGACCCCAGTGGACTCTTACCAGAGATTTGATGGTGTTCTTCAGTTGACTGATTTCTACGGACCTTGAATCCAGGACTACTGCTCGTTCTTGGCACGGGCTCTGAGGTGCATGCAGAGAGGAGGAGGTGGAGCAGGAGTGGGGGGAGAGGTAGAGAGAACAATCATTAGGGCTGGGGTGTGTGGGCTGTCTCAGCTGGCAGAGGGGCACCCAGTCCCACCTGGAGGAGGAGGTTGGAGGGTTGACCCGAAGGGTCACTGCACCTCCGCCCAGAGCCTCTTACCTCCAGATCTTTCAGGGTAGCAGATGATGTAGGGCCTTCCCTGTGGAAACCTGTTGCTGACTACAAGAGATGAGAGTGCACATGGAGATGTTCTGTCCCCCACAGTGTCTGAGCCCTCTGACTTCCTTTCTTCCCCATCAACTGGCAACATTTTCTTTTCTGCCTATCTTGGACCTTTTGTCCCATAACTCCTTTGTGCCAACTTCTCTCATGGTTCTTATCTCCCCACCATCCCATCCTGGGGCCCCTTCAGTGACTCCTGATGGCAAGTGGCTGTTCTCATTGTCCTGGTTTCCCCCTGAGACTGGGGATGAGGAAAATCAAACCATATCCTGGGTGTTCTGAGTGTTTACAGCAGGCCATGTACTAGGGATTAACATAAAAACAACAATAACAAATCTCATTTAAACTTCACAAATGGAAGTGAAACAATAACACCTCTATTATACAGATGTGAAAAGAGAGGCCCGATGAGGTCTAGCAACTTGCCCTAAATCATATCCCTAGCAGAGCAGATGGAGAGGCAGGATTCAAACCCAGAATTCCTTTTTTTTTTTTTTTCTTTGAGACAGAGTCTTGCTCTGTCACCAGGCTGGAGTGCAGTGGCATAATCTTGGCTACTGCAAGCTCCACCTCCCAGGTTCACACCATTCTCTTGCCTCAGCCTTCTGAGTAGCTGGGACTACAGGCACACGCCACCACGCTTGGCTAATGTTTTTGTATTTTTAGTAGAGACAGGGTTTCACCGTGTTAACCAGGATGGTCTCGATCTCCTGACCTCATGATCCGCCTGCCTTGGCCTCCCAAAGTGCTAGGATTACAGGCGTGGGCCACCACACCCGGCTAAAGCCAGAATTCTTAACCAGTACCCAGCAGTCCATCCACAATCTTAAGAATTACCCTCTATTGCCCCTTGGGCCCCCTGTCCCCAGAAGCCTGGTCAGCCAAGACTCACATCCCTAGGTGGCTGGCAACCACCAGAAGTGGCTTTCTCAGGGATACTGCCATTTGTTTTCCTGTTCCTGTTCGCTCCTGCTGGAACTCTAGGGCTGTTTTTCTGCCAATATTCTTTTAACTGTTGGAAAGAAGAGCAGTAATACTCATGAGAACCGTCAGCCCCTACAGCCACATCCTCCTTTACAGTTTTTACAAAATACACTTACACACCATCTGATTTAATGACACCAACAACTGTACAAGGTGTTGTCACACTCATTTAGTGACTGAGAAGGATTGATATCATGGCTAGAAAAAAAAAAGAAAAAGGCAATACTGGAACTTTGAAACTCAGTCTTCTGACTCCAAGCTCTGAGGTTTTGCCAAGAATCAGCAGCTGCCAGGGACCAAAACCAGAGGCAGAGGTAGAAAAGTAAACATTAAGTAGGCAGGAACTGTATGCCATGTGGTTTAGAGTCACACATCCTCACACGTCTGTTAGTGTGAAGAAGTGCACCAGTACCTCTCAAACTCTTATATCAATGTGTCCTCATGGCAGAAGGCAGCCTTTCTCTTAAATCAGAATTTATCAGAAAGAGGACAACCCAAGCCTCATTTCAGAGAGAGGTCTGGTATACTCTTAGAAACCTATGTGACTGTCATCCCTAAGTACATTCATGTTTTTTCTCTTGATCTCAAGAGAATCAAGGGAAACTGATGCTTCAGAAAGATGTCCCATATTTATCCTGTGGCACTCAAAGTACCCAAGGTTGAGATAATATGAGGAAGATTCAAGGTGTCAAGTTCAGTTTCCCAAGATCTATTCCACAGAAGATGAGCAAATGTCACTTCAGAGACCACTGACTGAAGGAGAGTCTGGTCCCAGAACCATGGAGAATTAGAATATGAGGTGGAGAACTCAGAAAAAAATGTTAAAATCTCTCTGGAAAGTAGAAGCCTGGGAGAAAACCAAACCAAACCCATTCTCTCATTGCCACCCAGAGATACTGTCAACGTTTTGAGTTCATGGGGGAAGTGTAGGCTTTTCCCACCGTCAACATCTGTAAGGGAGTGAGGCAGCCTGGAACCTCTTGCTCCTAGGTCCCATAGTCTCCATTCCCCTTCCAGCTGGAAATTTGTGCTGTGACCAGAGGAACCAGAAACGGGGTGAGAACGCTTAGGGGACTGGGTCGTAAGATCAAAGGCCAGTCTTGCAGTAACAGCAGTTACTAGGTGGACTGTGACATCACAACATTCCACTCCTCCTGGTCGGGGGGAGGGACCATGTCAGCACCATGTCCAAGTCGCTGCTCCACGATGGGGGAGGGAAGCACAGGGTTGGGACCCAGCTCCTTGGAGACGCCAGCACAAAGAACCCAGGGAGGTCGACCTTGAGGCAGCAGGAGGGGAGGGCACAGTCTGCAGCAGGGAGTCCCAGGAGTCACCAGTCCAAAGTCACCCAGGGATGACTGGCGAGGGTGGGGCCTGGCTCCTTGGAGATGAGAGCCCAAAGAGCCCAGGGAGATCAAGCTTGGGGCGGCAGGAGATGAGGGCCCAGTAATGGAGCGGGAAGCCCCAGGACTCACCCACCCAAAGTCACCCTGGGGTGATTGGCGAGGGCAAGGACTGGGCTGCTTGCTGAAGGGGTGGGGCTGACTGACAAAACTTTGGTGGGGGTAGCCCAGAGGCACCGGGGTAGGGGGGACCAGTCCAGTGTGCCTCAGGAGTCGTATAGACTCTGGCAGGGGTCTTGTCATCAGAGGGGATCTGTGGCTGGGTTGAGGGGCTATGACCTAGTGCGTTTTTACCTTTTTCTTGGCTGCAGCCAATTTGTTGTGTTGAGTTTCTTCTGCCATCACAGGGTGGGGAGGGAGGCAGGGTTGGGGTCACAGCAGCAAAATCTCAATGAGAACCGATCAAGGCCTCCAGTCACCTACCAGGCAGCTGTGTGACTGAGCCAGAGGAGGCGTAACCAGGGCCCCAGTAGAATGCGGAATAGGGGCGTGGCCTTAATGCTCCAAGCCCATTGGTCAATGAGAAAGATGAAAAGGAAAGGGGGCGTGGCCAGAAAGCAGTGTGTCCAGAGGGACCTGTGGCTCACAAGGAAAGCTGCCCATGGCAACTGCTCTCCCCACCCACTCTAAGAGAGGGGAGAGGCCTCCCACTCTGGAAGAGAAGAGGGGCCGGCTTTTGCTTTAAAAGCTTTAAAACTTTAAAAAATATATGTGTGTATACTTTATATATATGTGTGTCCGTGTGTGTGTATCTATGTTTTTCTCCATAGCTGTCTTCATTATCCAGCTTCTATGCAAGGTCTATGATTTTGGCCTATATTCTTCATCTTTGATTACAGTACAAAAATTACCAGTATTACCTTAACTGAGATACAGATCCTATAAAAATGGAAAATGCATAGCATGCTTGATGATTAATGAAGCAGACTATATTATCCAACATTCTAATAAGATAAAATAATCACAATGATTTCTCTTTTTTGGAAAAATGTTTCTTTTATTCTCCTACGTTTTCATTAAGATTTTTTTTTCTTAAACAAGAAACATGTCTAATATCTGTAAAAACACAAAGCTTTTGGGCCGGGTGCAGTGGCTCATGCCTGTAATTCCAGGACTTTGAGAGCCCAAGGTGGGTGGATCATGAGGTCAGGAGATCGAGACCATCCTGGCTAACACGGTGAAATCCCATCTCTACTAAAAATACAAAAAAGGCCGGATGTGGTGGCAGGCAACTGTAGTCTCAGCTACTTGGGAGGCTGAGGCAGGAGAATGACATGAACCCCCGAGGTGGAGCTTGCAGTGAGCCAAGATCATGCCGCTGCACTCCAGCCTGGCTACAGAGCAAGACTCCATCTCAATAAATAAATAAATTAATTAATTAATTAATAAAAATAAAAAATTAATAGTAAGAGCAATGTGAACAAAAGTTGTAATAAAATAATTTAGAAAATACAAACTATTAAAAAATAGATTTTAAAACTTGTGCAACAAAGTCAAACAGCACCCAACGAAAATGTATACCCTTACATGTTTGTTTAAAAAGCAATTTAAATTACATTGATCCACTAAACTGGGAAAAGCAAAACAAACAAAAAGGGGGAAATAATTAAGACATAAGGAAAAAGGAAAAAGAAAAACCACTAGATTTAAAAAATAAAACTGAAGGAGGATTCTTTCAAAAGACTGAGATAATAAAACAGTCAAGCCTCTGATAAGTAATCAAGATAAAGAAAACTTTGAAGAGAAAAGGGCATATAGCCACATGTGAATATGATGCAAAAAGTGAAAACTTTACACATCTTTACAACACCTTAGAAGTATGGATGACATGTTCATTTTTTTTTTTTTTTTTTGAGACGGAGTCTTGCTCTGTCACCCACGCTGGAGTGCAGTGGCGTGATCTTGGCTCACTGCAAGCTCCGCCTCCCGGGTTCACAACATTCTCCTGCCTCAACCTCCCGAGTAGCTGGGACTACAGGCGCCCGCCACCACGCCTGGCTGATTTTTTGTATTTTGGCTTAGTAGAGACGGGGTTTCACCATGTTAGCCAGGATGGTCTCGATCTCCTGACCTCGTGATCCACCCGCCTCGGCCTCCCAAAGTGCTGGGATTACAGGCATGAGCCATCGCACCCGGCCAAAGTGTTCATTTTTTTTTTTTTAAGAACCTACAGTTATGAAAACTAACTGGAAAGAAATGGGTTTTGGGAAAGATTGAGTACATTTTTGTGATGTTCAACATTATTTTTTCTTACAGTTTTAAAAACACAATTGATGTTTCTATCAATTTGACTTAAAAAAATTAAGAACTATATTAAAATTTACCAGCAGAGGGGAGTGAAGGAACACAAAGCAACTTTCAGTTTAGGGTAATTTTTGGGCATAAACAGGGCAGCAATGTCCTCAACTCTATTCTTCTTTATTAGCCAGTGAATCCATGTGAGCTCATTAAATGTTATTAACAGCTCAGTCTATAATGGAGGGCAAATAAAGAGACTTGTAGGTCACAAAGGTATTGACTTTTGATCAGAAGTTCCAGGGGGCGAGAAGAATGAACTAACTCCATGCATTCTTTTTTTGTTTTTGTTTTTGTTTTTTTTGAGACGGAGTCTTCCTCTTTTGCCCAGGCTGGAGTGCGGTGGCTCAATCTCGGCTCACTGCAAGCTCCGCCTCCCAGGTTCACGCCATTCTCCTGCCTCAGCCTCCCGAGTAGCTGGGACTACAGGCGCCCACCACCACGCCCAGCTAATTTTTTGTATTTTTTAGTAGAGACGCGGTTTCCTCGTGTTAGCCAAGATGGTCTCGATCTCCTGACCTCGTGATCTGTCCGCCTCGGCCTCCCAAAGTGCTGGGATTACAGGCATGAGCCACCGCGTCCGGCTCCATGCATTCTTATGGCCACATTTTTCCAGTTTGAAGTTTTATTTTCCGAGTTTCTTGAAACAATTGTGAAATCAGTTTTATTACACTAAAATCACTGTATTTTCTTATTTTTGGATATCTATTTAAAAATATTCATTTAGAATGACATTCCAGTGAAATACATTTTTAACGGCTGTTCTATGTCACAGGGATAACAATTTGACTTTCACAAACTGTATTTCAGACGTACAAGGTCTTCATTTTGATGAAGAGGGGCTGTGGGAACATAATCTGATGCCTGTTCAAAATGTACCAGAAGTGCACGCATGTGTATGCAGGCATGAGCGCACACACACACACACACACAAAACCCCATTGGGATTCCATTTAGCACACACACACACACACACACACACACACACAAACCCCACTGGGATTCCAGTTAGCACGCACACACACACACACAGACACACACACACAGCCCATTGGGATTCCAGTTATTTACCTCGAGATGGATGCTTGCTGATGTTCCAAAACCTCTTTAGGTCTTAAGGCAAAGGGCCTTTTGAATGCAAAAACCCTTACCTAGATGGAATAGACAGCAGCAATCATTGTCAACAACCTGAAATATATATTGAGTAGTTCCCATGCTAGACATTAGAGACATAAAGATGCAGAAGAGGCCATCGCCTTAAGGGAAATAATCCCGTTCAGACAAATGAGAATACATTGTGTAATGAGCTATCTCTTATAGGAAAGATGAAGACCAATCACCAACAGACCAGAATTCCAATATTTCACCAACTTGTAATATTATTCCAACTTCTCCTTCACATTCACTTAATTCTCATAGAGCAGTAACCAGAGTTTTGTGTTCTTTTTCTTTTTCTCTTCTTCTTCTTTTTTTTAAAAAACAAAGTCTTGCTTTGTCGCCCAGGGTGAAGTGCAGTTGTGCGATCTCGACTCACTGCAGCCTCCACCTTTTGGGTTCAAGAGATTCTCATGCCTGAGCCTCTTGAGTAGCTGGGATTACAAGCATCTGCTACCATGCATGGCTAATTTTTGTCTTTTTAGTAGAGACAGGGGGTTTTATCACATTGGTCAGGCTGGTCAGTTTTGTGTTCTTACTAGAGAGTTCTACTCTGTTATGTCAGAGAAGGAAAATGTCTTTTGATTTCATTTCAATGAAATGTCTATTCATTAATTACATCTTCATTGGCATTTCATACAGGATTAAGACTATCTTCTTTGCCTTAATGGTATACTGTGTGCATTGTTCCTTACCCATCGTAGCAGCTTTGAAGGTCTTTTATCCATATTGGTATTTTCCAGGACCAGAAAACCAAGTCTTGAAAGAAGGACTTCATGTCTTATCCATGGACACGCCATGGTTCCAGAATGTGTTGTCAGTTGATAAGATAGGCTTGATTTGTTACTGGTCTTAATGAGGGCTTTAGGTCAGCACACCAGGCAATGTAGGAGTTCTGGGACTGTTAGGGAAGGCCTGATGGAGAAAATGGAATGTTAGCTGGGCTTTAAAGAGAAAGTAGAAATTAGATCACTGGGGGAGGGGGTAATGTAAAAAACATTCCAGGTAAGAGAAAGTGCTTAGCAAGTAAGAAAGCATCCAAAATATTAGAAAGTACCAGGCTGGTGCAGTGGCTCACACCTGTAATCCCAGCACTTTGGGAGGCCAAGGCAAGTGGATCACTTGAAGCCAGGAGTTCAAGACCAGCCTGGCCAATATGGTGAAACCCTGTCTCTACTAAAAATACAAAAGTTAGCGGGGCATGGTGGCATGAACCTGCAGTCCCAGCTACTTGTGGGGCTGGGGCTGAGGCTGAGAATCTCTTGAACCTGGGAAACAGAGGTTGCAGTGAGCCGAGATCACACCACTGCACTACAGCCTGGGCAACAGAGCGAGACTCTGTCTCAAAAAATAAATGAATAAATAAGTAAAATAAAAAATAAAATGCTTACAGGAACTTCAACCACAATTTTTCTTGTTCACTGATAGTAAATCTAATAGAGAATTCAGGATTTATCTTACACTTGAAATTTTGTTACTGATTACTGAAAAATTATCTACAAGCACCCAATTGTGAGTTTTACAGAAACCTGGTCTCAGGAGTTATGAACCAAAGATTCACCAGTGGACTCCGCAGAGTTTTCAGATCCCCTGAAATCATGTGCTAGGTGCTGACTGCATTTTTCTGGAGAGGCTATAATGGTTTTCATTCATCTGATTCCTCTCAAATGGTAAAAATCACCAGTGGAATGGAGCCACACATCCTGTAGCAGAAACTTCTAAAAAACCAGGAAAAAGATGAAACGTGGTACCATGTACCTGCTCAGCCTCTACAGATCCTGCTTCCAGAAGTTGAAACAAATTCTTAAAACTTGCACAACTTTTTTTCTAGTGCTTGAATGACCTCTAGTGGCTCCTTAAATTATCACAGCCAATTGCTCACAGCAGGAAATAGGTTGATGTAAAAGAAATTCACAGATTTTGCCATTAAAAGTAACGAACTAAAGAACTAAAAGGTGTGGAGAAATAATAAAATTAAGATGGCATCACAAAGGAGCACCTGGCTCAATTTCAAGTTATTATATAAGCTCCCTACTATCCAACCAAATGTAGTTCACAATACAGTGTGTGTAATTCAAAACAGTTCACCAGATAGTTCAGTACACACCATTTTTTAAATGAAATAAGTATGATTTTCCCTAAGGTCTTGCATTTCAAATTAATAAAGCATCAGCAAACACCCATGAAGAGAACAGTACCGGAATCAAAGATACAAGAACCTCGGGAATTAACACCCACCCTTTCCTCTCAGTTGAGGCAGGACCAGGAATACAACGTTGACAAAGTATAACTGGAGTAGCAGAAATACTTTGAGAATACAAACTGGCCACAGAACTCAACCTGAGTGAGCACAAGTAACAAATATGGTCCAGGAACTGCTGGGCCAAACTCTCCAAGTGGGAGTGCAGCAGCCGCAACAGCAAGTACCAGTAGAACAAGGGCAGCACATCACCCAGGGTGACAAGCAGGTCCCAGATTACTTCACATGCCCTCTGCCCAGTCCCTTGAGAATTCCTGCAGCAGCAAAACATACCATCTTCCAGGCACTGCTACAGGGAGTCCCAAGCATACTGATACACTTTCATTCACTTATTTCAAAATATTTGTCAGTATCTAGATATACACAAGACACTGTCTAGGCACGGGGGTGGAGTGTTGAACAAGACAATTCACAATCCCTGTTCCAATGGAGCTTGTAGTCTAGTATGGAAAGAGAAATAAATACATAAAATGCCAGGTGGTGATATATGCTGTGAAAAAGATCAAGTAGAACAAGGGGTTTGGAAATTACAGGGTGCCCATAGTATTCTTTTCTATAAGTTGATCATCTCAATTCAGACTAGCTGTTCTTCAAGCACTCAATAGCCACAGTGGCTGGTGGCTACTATACTGGATAGTGGAACACATCTGAAACTATCATCCATGCCTTTTTAATTCACAATCTTTATCCTCTTTCTTTCTGAATCCTAAGAGAATTCATCCAACTGATCTTCAAATTCACTAACTCAGCTTCCTAAAGTATCCATAATCTACTGCAACTACTGAATCATTTAATTCAACAGTCATATTTTACATATTCAGAGGCTCTTTCTTCACAGCTTCTGAGCAACAAATGCCTGCTCTGACGATGCATGAATATCCTCTAAAATCTTGGGACTTTGTCTTGGACTTTATGTTCTCTCCCATCTTCTACAGCTACTCCATCTCACTGGAGACCTTTTGCTCTGAGCCATCAGAAGGAACCCCCATTTTTAAGATCCTAAGCCTTCTCATCTTCCTGGTAATACTGCCCTATATGCTCAATCTTTTAGATAAAAATCTACTCGACACATCTCTGAGAACCAAGTTGGGTACCATCAGTAATCACACAGGTCACAATTCATTTATTTTAGGCCCCCCAAAAAAGGAAACAATTAGACTTAGTGGCATTTTACTAGTAGCTCAGAGATCCAACAGTTTGCAGGAAATAGAGATGTAATTGTAAGCAAGGGAAATACAGTGAAATTATATTAATCTCCACCCAGACACTGTAAGGCCAGCTGGTATACTATCCCAGCAATTGGCTACTGCAGTGAATGGCACAGAGAGAAAAGTTTCCAATTCCTCTTGAGGCTCCAAATACCAATTGGCTACTATAGTGGACAACACAGACATAGAAAGTTTTCCAATTCCTCTTAAAGCCCCAAATACCACACAACCAGCTTCAGCTCTACAAAATCCTCTCTCCCTTACCCTTTTTAACTTCCTTCAGGACCTCTTGCTATTTCCCCTAAAAAGCCTTGGTTCTTTTCACCTACACTGACTCTTGAGCCTCTCCCAGTTCAAGGTATAACACTCTATTACCAATAAAGTGTAATATACATTAACAGAATAGGTAGAAAGTAATCTTTCATACGAAAACACTAAAAGCCAGAAGAATTTGAATTTTGAATTATAAGCTATGATTTAATTAGGAAATACATTAGCTGTAACAAAATGTTGGACAGACTACAAGAAAACGGGAAATGAACAAGTCTTATTCAAAAACAAATGAAATAATGATGAGTAGGGTTCACGAGCCTTGTTAACTCTGCTGTGCCATTTTAATGATGGACTACATTGTAAATGAGCCGCTATGTTTAAGCCTAAAGGTCTGTTGAGGTGATAAGTTTTTGAACAATTTCCACAATCCCACAAAGAAAAGTCAAGTGAAGGTCAAGGAAAGCCACATGTTCTAAATTACAGAATCAACAACAGTATTTCTTGTCATTCATCACATTTCAGTCATAAAAGACATTACCTCAACAACAGGTGTATTTTCCTGGAGATCAGTTTTGTGCGAAGCCAGTAAACCAATCACCCGAGCAACCTTGGCCCATCTGTAAACGGAGAGAAAACAGGCTCTGAAGAGAAGAGTCAGGGACTGAGGAAACTAACCCCAGCTAGTTACATTATGCAATGATGAGCATTAGATATAAGACTGTGAAATAAAAATTGAATGTGACAGGTCAGGCCCACACTCCCCCATGTACACAGCCCAGAGAAACTCTCCCTCGTATACACAGGGAGACATGAACTGTAATGTCTGCTGTAATTCTGCAACAGCAACAAAATTTAAACAAGTTATGGTGTAATAGTAAAAGGAAAAACAAAATTTGTTAAAAGCCTTAACCAGAGAAAAGAGCAACACAGTAATTAATCATTTTATTGCTGAGTACAGAGGCATTTGGCTAAAGGTCTCTTTTCTACTTGTTAGTAGATCAGTGAGTTTCTACGTAAGTGTTAAATATCTGAACAATAACATATCTGTATGTATTCATTTTAAAAGAAATTTTTACAATCAAAAGTTTCTAAAATATTGTACTATTTCCATAATCACTAGTCTTAATGAGGTGTGCCTTTAGTATCCAGCAGAAAACTGAATTTGATAAATCACAATTAATAAATCACATTCAGTGTGATTTGAAAAGGTATTTCATGCAGAAAAATTAGTTTTGATGAGAATTTTTTCTAATTGAAACAAATGGTGAGTTGATGAGAACTGCACTCATTGAGTGATGTCTGCATGTTGTCTGGAATAATCAATATGTACCTTAGTCAGCTTTTATTTTTTACCTTCTTAAAAGAAACCTATGTGGCACCCATGGAGGAAAACAAATCAGACTCAGAGAAGTACTTCAGGGAAAATGTCTGCGTTATCACAACTCTAACATACAGAAATAATTCTTAGAAATTTCAACACTTATTAAATTGCCCATTAAAATTTCTTAACATATACAAATTAAAGAAGACCTAGGCAATTGTAGAACTAGCATCCTACCTCTGAATAAAAAGATTATAGTTTAAAAGTAATCATTTTGAAAAATATCTGTAGGATAATTGGAAAAGCCATCCTCCCACCACAACCCCCCAAGTAGCTGGGACTACAGGCGTGCACCACCACGCTCAGCTAATTTTTTTACTTTTTGTAGAGATGGGGTCTCGCTATGATGCCCAGGCTGGCCTTGAGCTCCTGACAAACAATCCTCCCATCTCAGCCTCCCAAACTGCTGCGATTACAGGTCTGAGCCACTGCACCTGCCTGTCTATCTCTTTTCAAAGACAAGCTCAAAATACTTTTGAAACACTGAACCATTTTTCAATCTATAAAAGTAAATAATGGCTACCAGATTTAATCAATGGAAATAAAAATGTATCAACAAGCCAATTATTTTCCCTAATATGACCAAAACAATTCCTATTAGAACAAAAGAAAACACACTACCTAAAAACCCTATACTTTTAAAATAGAAACTTTAAATAGCTTATGAATAGTCACTTTTTACCAAAATCCTAAATACAAGTACCACATGCCCCATAGACAACACCCTCACAGTACAGGTTCCTTCTCAAAATTCAGGTTTTCTCAGGTCACCACTCCAGGTGCCCCCAGTGACTTGACACTGTACCTCAGAACCAACCCATCTCCATGACGGCATCTAAGGCACCACTGTCTACCAAACCTTCGTGCACTGACAAATGTCCCACATCTGCACTGTTCAATCCAGTATCCACTAGACACATGACTATCAAGCACATAATATATGACACATGCAAGTGAGGAACAACAAATTTTATTCAAATTAATTTTTTTTTTTTTTTTTGGAAGACAGGGTCATCCAAGCTAGAGAGCAGTGGCGCAGTCTCCGCTCACTGCAATGCCTCCCGGGCTCAAGTAATCCTCCCAATTCAGCCTCCCAAGTAGCCGGGACTGTAGGTGTGTGTCACCACACCTGGCTAATTTTTGTATTTTTAGTAAAAACAGGGTTTCACCATGTTGTCCAGGCTGGTCTTGAACTCCTGAGCTCAACTGATCTGCCCACCTCAGCCTCCCAAAGTGCTGGGATTATAGGCGTGAGCCACTGTATTTGGCCTTAATTTTTATTTTAAAAATTACCCCCACAGTTGAGGGTGAGGGAGACAGTGCCCTGGGGTAATTACTCATCTTTCATGTGCCTAGTCCTGGTTACCTCGTAAGTAGGACCGATAACAATACATACCGCATGTTGTTAAAAGAATCAAAGGAGATAATCCATGTGCAGAAAGTACCATTGTGTCCGACAATACATGCTGAATGAGTAAGCTACTATTAATTTAACTAATTTAAATAACCCCCATGAAGTGAATGGCTACCACATTAGAGCAGAACTAAAATTTTGCAGTTACTTATTCATTCATTGACTGGTTTATTGTCTGTCTCCTCGACCAGCCCAGAAGATCCATGAAGGCAGGACTGTATCCCAATCGCCACTGTGACACCTAGACAGTGCTTGGAGCGCACTCGGGCATCTAAAAATGTTGGTTGAACAAATATATCAACATCAAAAGCAAAATAAACACATTAGTAGGAAAGGAGTGCATAAAAGTATGGCTGTCCAAGGCAAACAAAATGCAAACAGGATTGCCAATGTAAATCTCAGCAGAATTCAAGGCTAAACTCTTCAGAAGAAGATTCCCTTTAAACGAAACACCATATGACCTACAGAAGATCTAAGATGTGAATCTTTATACACCAAATAACAAAGCACGCAAAGTAAACCCATGGTAGTGGTAAACTTCAATTTTCTTCTCTTCCAAGCACAGAGAGAAGGCAATAACGAATATATTAATCAATACATTCACACATTCAAGCATTCTAAATAAAACTAATGAAGTCAAAGTAACAGACGTATCTATCAAACTCTACACCCTACAAACAGTGACCACCCTTACTCAGTGGGAGGCTGCATAGGATGGTGTCTAACACTCTAGAATTCAAAGTCTTGGACCTAGCTCTGGCCCACCATTGGAGGTGAGGGAGACAGTACCCTGGGATAATTACTCATCTTTCATGAGCCTGGTTTCATGTTGTTCTAAGAATCAGGAGATAATCCACATGCAGAAATTACCACTGTGTCCTGACAATTTGTGCTGACTGAGCAAACTACTAGTACTACATTATTATCAATAGTTGACTACATTCATGGCATACATTAAAAATGATTTTATATTGGACCACAAAGAAAAATTATTAGAATTCCCTAGGGCAGAAATTATAAAGGACTCATTTTGATGTAGTAAAAGGAAAAAAGTAAAAATAACAAATACAAACCAAAAAACCTAAACACGTGTGGAGTTAAAAGCACTTCTCCTGGGCATGGTGGCTCACGCCTGTAATCCCAGCACTTTGGGAGTCCAGGGCAGGCTGATTACTTGAGGTCAGAAGTTCAAAACCAGCCTGGCCAACATGGTGAAATGCCATCTCTACTAAAAAATACAAAAATTAGTCAGGCGTGGTGGTGGGCGCCTGTAATCCCAGCTACTTGGGAGGCTGAGGCAGGAGAATCGCTTGAACCCAGGAGGTGGAGGTTTCAGTGAGCCGAGATCGTGCCACTGCACTCCAGCCTGGGCAACAGAGTGAGACTCCGTCTCAAAAATAAATAAATAAATAAAATAAAGCACTTCTAAACCTTATACATCATATTAAAAAATAAAAACTTTGGCCAGGTACAGTGGTTCACACCTGTAATCCCCAGCACTTTAGGAGGACAAGATGGAAGGATCACTAAGGCCAGGAGTTCAAGACCAGCCTGGCCAACAAAGTGAGACCCTGTCTCTAAAAAAAAAAAAAAAAAAAAAAAAAAATTTAATTTAGCCAGGCATGGTGGCATGTACCTGTAGTCCCATTCCAGTCTGGGGAACACAGTGAGACCCTATTTTTTTTTAGAGTGAGTCTCTAAAAATAATAATAATAATAAATACATAAAAGAAACAAAAGGAAAAATAAAAGGGAAAGGGAAAGAAATAAAGCATCCGTAAATCACAATCGTGTAAGTAACACAGATGCAAACTTATGAGATATTCTCTGTCTTTAATGATTGCACACTGAACACTTGACACTCACTTTTCTGAACCCTCCAGAGTCTCTAAAATACAAGCTCTTTTTATTAAATGATAATTGGAAACAAAAAGGAGGGCTAAAAGTGGACTAGAAAGTTTGAGAAAATCTCAGATGACATGCACAAATAGAATTAAGACTGACAGAGAATCAACAAAGGAATCCCCTGTCTAAGAACCACAGGTAGACAGACGTTCCCAAGGAAGCCTCAGGGACTTGGAATAAACAAAGACAAAAAGAAAGAATGAGCCACAGGACAATAATCAGATTAAACAACTGCACAAGGAAAAATTGTGTCCTTGTACAAGGAACAGCAGAGCCAATCAGGTCCTGTCTCTTTTCCATCTCCCTTCCCTGGTACACAGAATAAACCCTGCAGCCCTGGCCTCCTGAGTAAATGTGGAAAATCATTCCTACAGTGAGCAATCCACCTTGCTCACTGGATGGATGGATGTGGGAAGCAGCAACTGTGGTCCTCCAGATACCGAAGCGGGGAAGGGAATAAATGAGGAAAGCCAGCTCCACTGCAAAGAAAAACCCACCCTGGCAATTGCAGAGGCCTCCAGCCTGCCTACTGATCTTCAGCCAGCTGGAATCCCAAATTAAAGTCAACCAGTCAACAGGCCTCACCTACCCACATACCAGCCCTTTCTTTAAAGGAGAAGCTATTGGAGAAAGAGACTTAGGCAAGAATAAAGGAAACTCATATTGCCAACTTCTATACCAATCAATTTAATCATTTATTCATAATATAAATGAAGAACCAGAGATCACCAGGCATTTGAGAAATAAACAGCATTAAAAAGCAGGACCATGATGAAAAAGAAGTGACCTGCAAGTTCAAGAGATAAGAATACAATGTTCATAATCCTAATTTTGTTCCCTTTTTTTCAAAGTCCAGGTTCCAGGCTTATATTATATAATCCTAATGTTTAGCCTTAAATATTAATAACAATATTTAATTCTAAATTCTGCTCCAAGATGAGGATTTTTATAATCCTAATATTTATCCTCAAATTCAAAAGTATATTATATACCAAATATAGGCAGCTAGGAAAAAGGACCAATCAGAGAAAAAGAAAATGAACAAAAACTTTCAAATATGATTGTTGAAATTAAAAAATTAACTGGAAATCCTAAATAATAAAATGAGTGGGGATAAATATCAAGTTTGAGAGCTCAAAGATAAAGTCAAGGAAGAGCAATAAAAGAAGAAAGTTTGCATGGACACAAAGAGGGAACAATCGACACGGGGGCCTATTTAGGGTGGAGGGTGGGAGGAGGGAGAGGATCAGAAAAAATAACAATTGGTCCTTACCAAGCTTAGTGCCTGGGTGACCAAATAATTCATACAACAAACCCCCATAACATGAGTTCACCTATATAACAAACCTGCATGTGTACCCCTGAACCTAAAATAAAAGTTTAACAAAGAGACTTTGGCAGTTCTTCAAAAGGTTCAACACAGAGTTACCATTTTATCCAGCAATCTCACCACTGTAGGAGAAATAAAAACGTATATGTTCACACAAAACCCTGTGGACAAATGTTCAGAGCACCATTATTCATAATAGCCAAATGTGGAAACAACCCCAAATGTCCATCAAGACCACATAAGCAAAATGTGGAATAGCCATACAAAGATTATTCAGCTAGAAAAAGAATGAAGTACTCACACATTCCACCATACGGAGGAACCTTGAAAACATTATGCTAAATGACAGAAGCTAGACACAAAAGGCCACACACTGTATGATTCCATTTATATGAAATATCAAGAATAGCAAATCAGCTGACAAGAAGTAGATTAGTTGTTGCCAGGGGTTGGAGAAGAATGGGTACTGGGTTTCACTGGGTGAGAAAACTGTTCTCAAATTAGATAGTGGCAATGGTTGAACAGTTTTCAATATACTGACACCTACTGAACTGTACACATTAAAATGGTGAATTTTATGGTATGTGAATTATATCTCAATAAACAAGAGAAAGTGAGAAAGCAAAAGAAAATTTGAAAGAAGAGTCATGAGACACAAACTCCCACACCCATCCTGTAGGGGTTTCAGGAACAGAAAAAGGGTGAAATAGAGAGGAAGAAATCTAGGAAGTAATATAATAGCTAAAGGAGGGGTGAGGAGGCTGGGCATTGTGGCTCACACCTGTAATCCCAGCACTTTGGGAAGCCAAGGCGGGAGGATCACATGAGGTCAGGAGTTCGAGACCAGCCTGGCCAACATGGTGAAAACCCATCTCTAAACTAAAAATACAAAAATAAGCTGGGCATGGTGGCGTACAACTGTAATCCCAGCTACTTATGAGGCTAAGGCAGGAGAACTGCTTGAACCCGGGAGGCGGAGGTTGCAGTGAGCCAAGATTGCGCCACTGCACTCCAGCCTGGGCAACAGAGCAAGACTCTATCTCAAAATAAATGGAAAGAAAAGAAGGGAAGGAAGGGACGGGAGGGGGGAAGGAAGGGACGGGAGGGAGGGAGAGAGAGAGGAAGGGAAGAAGGAAGGAAGGAAGGAAGGAATTAAGGAAGGAAGGAAGGAAAGAAGGAAGGAAGGAAGCAGGCAGGCAGGCAGAAGCAAATTAGTAAAAAGAGATGGCAGGCAGGCAGGCTGAAGCAAATTAGTAAAATGAAATTCCTAGAGACAATCTAGTAAAATTTACAGGCCTGGAATAAAAAGAAAAGCTAACTCAAACAAGACCTACAAAATAGGGAGGAAAAAAGAAGGTAAGGTTGACTCCCAAGTCCTACAGAGCTACAGTTAGTAAAGAGAAGACAGCTCAAACTCCAAAGCATGGCACAGAGGTAAGCCACTGAGAGGCCTTCTTGAAAACAAAACAAAACAAAAAATCTACCAGCTGGGTGCGGTGGCTCACACCTATAATCCCAGCACTTTGGGGGGCCAAAGCGGGTGGATCACCTGAGGTCAGGAGTTCAAGACCATCTGGCCAACACGGTGAAACCTCGTCTCTACAAAAATACAAAAATTGCTGGGCATGATGGCAGGTGCCTGTAATCCCAGCTACTTGGGAGGCTGAGATGGAATGATCGCTTGAACCTGGGAGGCAGAGGTTGCAGTGAGCCGAGATCACGCCACTGCACTCCAGCGTGGGCGACAGAGCGAGACTCAATCTCAAAAAAAGAAAAAAAAATTGGCAAATGACTTGACTAGACCTTTCTCCAAGGAAGATATACAAATAGCCAACAATCACAAAAAAAGATGTTCAACATCACTAGTCACAAAATACAAATCAAACCCATGAGATACTAACTTCATACCCATCAGGTGTGAAAACACTAATGTTCATAGCAGCATTGTTCACAATAGCCAAAAGATATAAACAAGCCAGTGCCCAACAACAGATGAAAAGATAAACTGTGGTATATTACATACAAAGGGATATTATTCAGCCTTAAAAAGGAATGAAATGCTGACACATGTTAGTTACAACATGGATAAACCTTGCAAATGAAACCAGCCCAATTGTCCTATAGAACTGATGTTTACAGTCTTTTAAAATAAAGATAGAAATTGACCCTCCCAGTCTTAAAACTTGAGAAAGTTACATTTGTCTTATCTGAGTTCCTTTCTTGGGAAACCAACCATCAGGCCTCCCAGATAGTTATCAAGGAACTGAAACTTACCAGATCACCACATCTGGACCATAAGACACCAGACCACCTCACCCATCACAATTGCCTAACCAACTACCTGCTTCCTGTCGACCAACTCCTCTCCCTCACCCTTCCCTAACTCCTGTTTTCCCATACATGGTTACATTTCTTCCCTGCTAAATAAACCTGTGGTTTTAGTCAGTCGAGGAGACAAATTTGAGATTGATCTCCCATCTCCTTAGCTGCAGCACCCAATTGAAGCCTTGTTCCCTAGCAACACTCATCGTCTCCGTGATTGGCTTTCTGCGCTGTGAGCAACAGGACCTAGACCAAACCCCTCGATGTTTCAGTAGCAATATGAGGTACTCACCATAAGCAAATTTACCAAGATAGAATAAGTAGAGTATAGGTTACCAGGACTGGGGAAGGGAAAGGAAAGGGGAAGTTATGTTTAACGGGTAAAGAGCTTCTGTTTAAGATGACGAAAAAGTTCTGGAAATGAATAGTGGTGATGGTTACACAACAATGGGAATGAACTAAATGTCACTGTACACATAAAAATAGCTAAAATGGAACATTTTAAATTATGTGTAATTTACAAGTAACACATTTTAAAGTTACAGTATTACACTATTACTATATATGAATTATACCTCATAAAGTTGATTGGCAAGGATAAAAGGATATACAATTTGATAAATACTCAACGTTGGAAGTTCTAACAAAAGGCATTTTAAACACATTGACTGGGATTATCTATTGATACAATGTTTTTTTAAGAGTATTTCAGCAATTTTTCAGAAGTCACAAAGATATTTACTGCCTTCTACCCATTTGTTCTAGTTCTATGAATCTTTCCTAAAGGGAAAAAGAAAAAGCGGGCACGAAGATTTAATCTCAAAAATGTTCATCAAAATGTTGTTTACAACATTATAATACTATCCAAAAATAGTAAACAAAATGATCAGATATTCACAACATATAAAACGTTTACCTTAAGTATTATGTATTTTATTTTAAAATGTTGATAACATTTAAAATACATAATATATATGTTATGGGGGAAAACAAACATAAAAAACTATATCATGTGATTCTAATTTTTTATAAGCAAAACAAAACTAAGTATCTACTTCAATAATAATTATCTCCCAGACTAAGTTAAGGACCCTTTATCATATGCTATCAAGGTAATATAACCTGAGGTCAGAGAAAACCTCGCTGGAAGTGGCTTTGGATGGAGAAAGAGAATAAAAGAAGATTCCTACCAGAGAACTTGTCTACCTCAGTATCATTTTATTCAAATTAAAACTGTTTTACAATCAAACCTCAATTTTTAACAGTGGGGGAAAAAACAGTATGTGTTAATTTTAGTATCCAAGGGGATACTAGAACCATTCTCCTGGCTGATACAGAGGGATGACTGTTCTCGGAAATGATTTGGAATGTCTGTCTGAAAATGTCAGCAGGGAGCACCCCATTCAGGTATATAACACGTTTTAAATAAAAGTGTTTAGATACATATTTCATTGATTCATTTTTAATGAGCATACCATAAGCCTTCTCAAAGTATTAAATGCTCAACCATTACCTAAAAATCCTACTTTCTATTACCAGATTTTATTTTGCGAGAGTAACATTAGAAGACGTATAATAAGAATTACCCTTATTATTAAACATTTTCTAAACTCCTATTGTTTCACCCATATTTCACCAGCATAGAAGAATAATTATTATACCACTGCCACAATTCACAAAATCCTTTCACCTCCGTTTTTTCATGTGCCTGTCCTAACAATCATGAGATAAGCAAGCTTCATGATAATAACTACAACTTCTACAACCCCAACCCCACTGTCAATGAAATACCCACTAAGAATCAGGCACTATACGGCCAGGCACGGTGGCTCATGCCTGTAATCCCAGCACTTTGGGAGGCTGAGGTGGGCAGATCACGAGGTCAGGAGATCGAGACCACGGTGAAAAAAATTAGCCGGGCGGGCGTGGTGGCGGGCGCCTGTAGTCCCAGCTACTAAGGAGGCTGAGGCAGGAGAGCGGCGTGAACCCGGGAGGCGGAGCTTGCAGTGAGCTGAGATCGCACCACTGCACTCCAGCCTGGGTGACAGAGGGAGATGCCGACTCAGAAAAAAAAAAAAAAGAAAGAAAGAAACAGGCACTATACCAGGTATCTCACATATTTACCACATTCAAAGTTGAATAATTACCAAAAATCTATGAAGTAGTTATCCCATCCCAATTTTACAGATGAGGAAACTGCGGCTCAGCAATTAAAGTAATTGGCCCAGAAAGCGGATCTTTGATCCACACCCAGGTCTGTCTGAATCCTAAACCTATGCCATTTCCTTGTCCCACCCACACTCCCCAGGAAACAGAGATTGAGAAAAAGATAATCATTTGGCCAAGTCTTATAGGCAACAGGAACCCAGAGCCTTCTAACACTTGATCTACGGTGCTTTCCACCTGGTATGTTGCTTCTATAAAAAGTAAGGACACTTCCTTCCATCGGGAGTTTATAAATCATAATTAATCTCATTAGATTATAAATAACATCATAGGGAAGCTATGTGCTACATAGGGACAGATAAGGGTGCCCAAGGGAAACTTTGAGGAAGTATAACTAAATTAATACACAGGGATCAGGGTTGAAGTATTTTATAACCAATACTCAAAACAGTAACAGTTAGCCTGGCGCAGTGGCTCACGTCTGTAATCCTAACACTTTGGGAGTCAGAGATGGGAGAATCACTTGAGCCCAGGAGTTGGAAACCAGCCTGGGCAACATAGTGAGAGACCTTGTCTCTACGAAAATAAAAAAACAACAACAGTTAATAAAGTTTCCAGGAGTAGCTTAGATAATCCCAGAATCGTATCTATATTAGGAGAAGGGCTATTTTTAAATATTCTAAAGTTTATAATTGGAATGCCCATAAAAATTGCCTATGAGTAAATTCATCATTACATCAGGAAAATTTATGATAATTACTTAGGACTCTGCTTTTGATAAATATGTATGCTGTAACTACTTAATAAAACCATGAGAAATAATTTTTAAAATGTAAATGTTACTTACATATCGCAGTTTGCAGCTATCCACAAATGCTGGATTAGCAATTGGAACTAGAATAAAAAATGTAAATGTAAAAAAAGAAAAAATTAAAATATTTAAGTCATGAAACACAGAAAGTGACAGCAAAGTTAAAAACTCAGATCTTTATAAAAAGGAAATTTATACTGTACACCAAAAATGATATTTGCTAAATTACAAAGGCACTTGTATACGAATAAGATTAAAATAAAAACTAAGAACAGTACTTTTAGTTTCTCCTACCACTTTATATTCTCTAAATGACAGCCCTTACCTGATAGACACACGCCAACTATCAAAAAAAGCAATCTTAATACCATCCTGGAAGCAAGTGAACTTACATTTTTTTCAAGCCAATTCCCAAATGAGGGCCCACTACAGAAAACACCTCCGAACCACTGTAATTCCTTTCTGAGGATGACTCCAAACACTCTGCCAATCGATGCTAAACATGAGCCAAAAGAAACAAAAAAACTCTGACAAATTCCCATGAGCTTACCAATGGACCAAGATTGTCCAAAAAGTAATATTCCCAGAGGATAGGAAAAAAATGTCTTAGAGGGTTGATGTCTGCCTTCAATGTCACAGCAGAAACCTTGCAGTTTACCAGATGACCCAGTAAAGGAACCAACACCCACAACCCGTTCCACATGGGCAGTTAATTCCAGTCACTGATGAGAAGGGAAAAGGTCTGTCTTATGATATCACATTTTTTTTTGTTTGTTTTTTGTTTTTATTTTTTGAGATGGGGTTTCGCTCTTTTTGCCCAGGCTGGGGTGCAATGGCATGATCACGGCTCACTGCGACTTCTGGCTCCTGGGTTCAAGTGATTCTCCTGTCTCAGCCTCCCAAGTAGCTAGGATTACAGGAGTGCACCACCACGCCCTGCTAATTTTGTATTTTTAGTAGAGATGGGGTTTCGCCATGTTGGCCAGGCTGGTTTCAAACTGCTGACCTCAGGTGATCCACCTGCCTCGGCCTCCCAAAGTACTGAGATTACAGGCGTTCATTCCAGTCACTGATGAGAAGGTAAAAGGTCTGTCTTATGATATCACGCCCGGCCTGATTTCACATATTTTTTAAAAATCTTACAAGTTAACATAAAATGGAAACCTGAGTATTACAAACAACAACAACAACAAAAAGTTCAAAATCACCGTCTACTCTTATCTACTTTAAGACGTAAGGATTAAGCAGAGGATAATTTGCATAAACCTAAAATCGTGATAAATCAGTTTTTTCATGGTAGTTAAATCAAATTGCTATTTTAGCACTTGTTTGAGCCTCTATAAAAAACATAAATTTAAATGCATAAGTCATGTCACAGAGGCCTACCAGCGGGGAAAGGAGGAGCCTGGTGGCCACCTCCTGGTGACCAGCCACCACTCACAAACAGCAAAGGAGATTAAGCTTGGCTCAGGAGGTCCCCGAGCTCTTCTCACTGGAGTCGATCTGCGAGCACACTTGTTACAAAAAGTCATTCCAATCTTGGTCTTTCAGAAATTATAACTTATCCATTGCCAAGGAAAGAAAATAACAAAAGTATGATGATGAGAAAAACAACTGCTGGAAACATTACATGAGAAATAAACACAGAGTTACGACAGCTAAGATGAGGACAAAGAAAACATTACTCTGTCAACACCAAAAATACTCCAAAGATGACACTACTTCTATTTGTCCTTCTATATTCCTCATCTCTTTATCTATCCATGGAAACTTTTTAAACACTTCAATGGAAAACTATGCTTTCAAACCAAGCAGATGTCTAAAGCAGAATTGTCTCACAACCTAGATTATAACAAAATGCAAAGTTCAATACAACTGGAGTAAAAGACAAAAAAGCCTTTGTATAAATAAATCAACTCTCAGATATTGAGAAAAGCACAAACCACACAGTTATTAAAAAGTTCCAATGAAATTACTGTAAAAAAATAACGAGGATAACATGATAGCTAAAATCACCTGAAATTCCTACCTCCAAATCCCTATAAAAAAAGGGCAAAATCTAGGAAATGTGATACTCCCTAAAATTTTTTGCTAACATGTTTTTGCTGATCTCAATCTTTAGACAAAGAAATTGTAAATATAATTTCCTAAGTAACTCAAAGAAGAAAAAGGAAATAGTATTTCCCGATAATAATTCTCTAGGTTTGCATAAATAGACCTACTTGGCACTGAAAGCACTATTAATATTTTGCTTCACTTTGGTCTTTCAAAAACGTCCTTCTACACAGGTTTTTTTGGTTGTTTTTATCACTAATTAAGTTGACTGATATAAACCCTTAGCTGGTTTATTTAAACCTAAATATATTTTAAATTTACTTCAAATCATAGATTCTACTCTAGCCACAATGAATAATTTTCCCCAAATTGAGTTTAACAGCTTAAAATATAATTTGTTAAAAAAAAAAAAGTTTAAGGTATGTAAAAATTTCTGACTTTCACCGTAAATAAGATTTTCATTAGCTCAACAGAAATGTAATAATTATCCCTTAAGTATCTCCACTCCCACACCATCTCCACAGTCATGAACCACCTAGTCCCGTTCTCAAATGTCCTGGTCCCGCCAATAGAATCCCAATCCTTCCTTGTTGTCCCCAACCCTGTGCACCTACACCTGCCATAAATGGTGGAAATTCAACCAGCTCTATGAACGGAAGGGAGGAGGCCCCCCACCCACTCTACAGGAAAACTTGCCCAGATCTACAGGAACCTCCCCACTCACAAGAGGACAGGGCAGCCCAGACTCAGCTGAGAAATGTCAACAGCTGGCACAAATGAATTACAGATTATTTACAATTCACATAACACTGACCCAAGAATATAACCAATTGTCAAGACAAAATAAATTTAGTTGTTCACATACAAATATTCCATTTGTGAATAAATTTCATATTCGTATCTGTATACAGACAGTCTACATGTTCGATAAGTCCTTTATGATCCTACCTGAAAATGCTGGTAGATGCAATATTTTTGCATCAAATTTAACCGATGGTGGTTGTTTCCTTATCTGTGGTTAAAAAAAAAAAAAACTTTTGAGGCAATTTTAAAGATGGATATCTGTCTCCTTATATGTCCCTTATATCAGATAATAAATCAATGAGGACAAAAAAAGAATGTGTAAAATTTGTTACCAAAAACAAAAAGAACGATGCCTTTTCAGATTAAAACATACATATATAGATAATAATTTATTTTTTAAAATCATTTCAATTGATATCTGTAATAAAATAAAGCTTCAAAGAAAAAATTCACCCCATCCTGGCTTACTTTTTAGGTAATTTACGTCTAATTAGAAATTCAGTCTTTCAACAAATATCTATTGCTTACCTGCCAAGGTAAGGCTCTATGTCAAGTGCTAAGGGGGATACAAAGATATAAAAGACACAATCCTATTTTCAGCGAGCTGACTTTCTGGTTGGGAAGATGAGACAAACATTTGATAAACAAGAAAATATTTCACAATTCAAAAGAGGCAGGACATAACTACAGACAAAACCCTGGACAGAAAGAATTTTTTTTGTAAATAGTAGTTTAGAGAATACAGCAAGCACTTTACTTGATATACTTGACACCGGGTTTACGGAAGACGTAGAAGGTGGGTTGCGGTCTTGAAGGATGGCTAGAACTTTATGATTATATCAGAGAAGACACCATTCAAGGAAGCCATAATAGCATGAATTGGAAAGTGCATAATTTATTTGAGAAATGTGAAGAAACCATGTAGTTGGATCCATGAGCTTAGGACAGCCAGATACTGCATCTTGAGACTTTTAATTAAAAATTCAACCATCATTTCTATACCTAACTTCTGCAAAACTTCTATATGTAATATTTTTAAAACCTTTACTAATTAAGTAACCAGCATTACTGTATTTACTGTAGTATTCTTACTAAAATGCATATTCTCATTCTAATCTCATAATCCAAATTCATAATCTCATTCGAGTCATGAGAAACCCTTAGACAAACCTAAATTAAGGGACATTCTTCAAAACACCCAACCAGTTACTCTTCAAAGTGTCAAGGACTTGAGTCATACGTTTTATAACATGTATTACAAAAACATACAAAGGCCAGGTGCCGTGGCTCACGCCTGTAATCCCAGCACTTTGGGAGGCCTAGGCAGGTGGATCATGAGGTCAGGAGTTCAAGACCAGCCTGGCCAACATGGTAAAACCCCATCTCTACTAAAACTACAAAACTTAGCCAGGTGCAGTGGCAGGTGCCTGTAATCCTAGCTACTCATGAGGCTGAGGCAGGAGAATAGCTTGAACCCGGTCGGCAGAGGTTGCAGTGAGCTGAGATCGCGCCACTACACTCCAGCCTGGGTGACAAAAAACAAAACAAAACAAAATAAAAGACAAACTGTCAAGGTCATGAAAGACAAGCAAAGTCTGAGAAATTCTGACAAAACCGTGAAAAACTAGGACAGACTATATGAGACTAAGGAGGCATAACAACTAACTGTAATGTGGGATCCTGGAACAAAAAAAAAGAGGACATTAGAGGCAACCGGTAAAATTCAAATGCATTTGGTAGTTAGCAGCACTATTCTCATGTTTTATTTTTCCCTTTTCAGGAAGAATTCGAAAGGAGCAGTCAGGGTATTGCATGCCATCATTACACAGAGATATGAATCAAGTATCATGCAATTCCAACTACCACATTCTGCTGCCCTCCAAAAGGAGGCACAGGTAAGGATTATCCCGCCTGACTAACACTATACCAATGTTAATTCCCAGGTTTTGCTAACTATACTATAGACCTATAAGATGTGAACATTAAGAGCAGCTGGGCAAAAGCTATACAGGAGTTCTCAACTATTTTTTAATCTTTTCTCTAAAAGTAGTTTAGAATTAAAAGTTAAACACAAAAATTTCCACTGATGAAGGCTTCCCATAAACTATCAAATATGGTTATAAGAGGAAAAAAGGAAACACAGAATATTGTGTAAAGCAAGCTTGTCCAACCCGCAGCCCGTGGGCTGGATGCGGCCCAAGACGGCTTTGAATATGGCCCAACACAAATTCATAAACTCTCTTAAAACATCGTAAGAATTTTTTTGCAATTTTTTTTTATTGGTTTTTTAGTTCATCAGCTATTGTTAGTGTATTTTATGTGTGGCCCAAGACAATTCTTCTTCCAGTGTGGCCCAGGGAAGCCAAAAGACTGGACACCCCTGGGAAAGATATCACAAATTGTTCTAGAAAGCCCATTTTGAAAATGCGCCAATGCACATCAAACTTAGCATAATAAAGTTACACTGCCAGACATATGAACTCACAAAAAGAATTAGCTCCATTATGAAAAACAGCTAAATCATCTATATAAAATGCTGTCTATCTAGAAAATAAACATGAATCCAAAAACCCTTACATTGTTCTAAACCACACTAATGTTCCCAATGAGACAAGAAAAAAACAGTCATGAATTAATACAGAAAAAGATATTTAAAAAAGAAAAAGAAGGCCAGGTGTGGTGGCTCATGCCTGTAATCCCAGCACTTTGAGAGGCCGAGGTGGGTGGATCACAAGGTCAGGAGATCGAGACCATCCTGGCTTACATGGTGAAACCCTGTCTCTACTAAAAATACAAAAAATTAGCAGGGCGTGGTGGCGGGCACCTGTAGTCCCAGCTACTTGGGAGGCTGAGGCAGGAGAATGACATGAACCTGGGAGGCGGAGCTTGCAGTGAGCCAAAATCGCGTCATTGCACTCCAGCCTGTGTGACAGAGCAAGACTCTGTCTCAAAAAAATAAAAAATAAAAGTAAAACTAAAAAAAAGTAAAAGAAGCAGTAAAGTTAAAATAGAGAATAAGTAGTGGAATGTGAGTATGTTGGGGAGCTGGAAGTCAAGACAAAACAGAGGGACTTAGAAATGCATCTGTTTTTTAAAGTAAATACTCATTATCCCCCAGCAATAAAGTATTATATTCCAAAAGACAAGAAGCAAAAAAACTCACAGTGGTTTAGAAGTACATTGTGAACCATGACTCCTCAAGTTCCCATAGTGTCTCCCCACCATCTCCCCTGCAGTATTAACAACCTGTGACAGGGCAGGGCTTCCGTGTGATCTGCCTGCCCAGCCCAGCCTGGTGAGCAGTGCCCTCTGACTGCTTCTGCCTTCAAAACACATCAGAGACTAGAATACTTAGAGTGATTCACATTAGTGCAGATGGAGAAACGATGGGACTGAGAGCTAAGGTCTGAGGTCAAGAGGCTGGCAACCCCTCCGTGGCATGTGGAAGAAAGCAGTAGTGAGAAGCAGAGCTGACTCATTCAAAACAGAGGGGGGAAAACTTAGAACTCCAGTGAAGCGGAAGTGAAGGCAGAGGAAAGGGTTGCAGACAGAGCGGGAGCTGGAAATGCAGACATGCAGCACAAATGAAAGAGTAGCGGACAAGAGAAACAGGAAAGATTAGACAGTAAATAATATTCTGAATGAAAATCTTATGCAGATTTCAGATCTCAGTAAAGTCTACAACTCACTTGTCAGAGTGCTTTCTGCACCTTTGGATTGTCAATAATGGGGGTGACAACAAGATCTGAGTCGTGTAGATAAGCTCTCTCATCTGGGATTCCAGGTCCTGCTGACTCAGGTGTCCACTTGTAATCTGAAATGAGAACAAAAATTTGACTTTGTTTCTGTGACTAATATAGAGCTTTAAAACACTGAACTAATATGATGCTGAGGAAGACACCACTGTAAAATATCACCTATATCAATGTACTTCCACTGCTATTCAAGACACTTGCAGTCTCACTTGATTTTCACAAAAATCCTAAACTGTAGGTACCATAATTTCCATTTTACAGATAAAAATATAAAACTCTGAGAAAGTAACTGAATTGCTCATGTTACCATTAAAACTGGCTAGGACTACAAAAAAGATCTTTACAATTCAACGTTCTAAACTCTGATGAGGCAAACTGCTTTTTCGATTACCAGCATGGTTTTTTTTTGTTTTTTTTTTTTTTTTTAGGGATGGAGTCTCAGTCTGTCACATAGGCTGGAGGGCAGTGGTGCAACCCTGGCTCACTGCAACCTCTGCCTCCTGGGTTCAAGTGATTCTCCTGCCTCAGCCTCCCAAGTAGTGGAATTACGGGTGTGCACCACCATGCCCAGCTAATTTTTTTTTTTTTTTTTTTGAGACAGAGTCTTGCTCTGTCACCAGGCTAGAGTGCAGTGGCGCGATCTCAGCTCACCACAACCTCTGTCTCCTGGGTTAAAGTCATTCTCCTGCCTCAGCCTCTCCAGTAGCTAGGACAAGGTTTCACCATGTTGGCCAGGCTGGTCTCGAACTCCTGGCCTCAGGTGATCCACCTGCCTCGGCCTCCCAAAGTGCTGGGATTATAGGTGTGAGCCACTGCACCCGACCCATGGCTTTATTTTTCATTCATAGAATGCTGATCAATTTATTTCTGCTTTACAGAATATTCAATGTGAAGTTGAAACTGTAACATACAAAAATTTTCAGACTTAAATACAGACCGGTTACCTAAGTGTTAAACCTCAATTATTTATTAAGCCTCATTAGAGATGATACATAATAAAATCAATCACCAGACATTCACCATCAGTTATTCCTTTGAGATGGTTCTTTGTGCTCTATTTAAACATAATTTGTATTCCTAGTGCTATGCCCCAGTATTTCCCATCAGAAAAAAAAAAGGATTTATGCTTAAGAACCTTAAAAGAAACAATGACTAGCAAACTAAATAAAATAGAAAAGTAAATCAGTGAAGTAAGGAAGAAGGAAAATAAATTATCCAAAACTAGTGAGGAAGGGTCATAGATAAAGGAACAGAGTTAGCTAAGAAAATTCCTGGAAACCCAAGGTGCCCCTTGCAACTCAGATGAAAGATATACGAAAACACACAAAGAGGCCGAGGCCGGGCACGGTGGCTCAAGCCTGTAATCCCAGCAATTTGGGAGGCCAAGGCGGGTGGATCACGAGGTCAGGAGTTCAAGACCAGCCTGACCAACATGGTGAAACACTGTCTCTACTAAAAATACAAAAATTAGCTGGGTGTGGTGGCATGTGCCTGTAATCCCAGCTACTCAGGAGGCTGAGGCAGGAGAATCACCTGAACCTGGGAGGCGGAGGTTGCAGTGAGTTGAGATTGTGCCACTGCACCAATTAAAACAATTGTATGCAAAAATTAGTTTCCTATAGGTAAATTGAGTGTAGGCACAAATGCCAAGTTATAACAAATATCCCACTCACAATAGCAAAAATATATAAAACAAAATGTTCAGGAATAAACTAAATGATCAATAATTGCAATGAGATCACGATCATTAAATGAAAATAATCGTTATAAAATTATACTCTCTTGCTTCAAAGTGAACACATTATGTATAAAACCAGAAGTAGTAATATCAAAATGTATGAGATGTATGAGGTTACAGTGAACTATGATGGTGCCACTGCACTCCAGCCTGAGCAACAGGCTCTAAAAAAAAAAAAAAAGGTAATCAGTGTTTACTTGGGAATTACATTGTAAATAATTTTTCTACTGTCTTTGTCCTCTTTTATATTTTACAAGTTTTTTACAATTATATATGTTTTGTAATAGAATAAAAAGTATCATTTAAAAATTATAAAACATAAGGCCAACACAGTGGCTCACACCTGTAATCCCAGCTCTTTGGGAGGCCGAGGCGGGCAGATCACTTGAGTCCAGGAGTTTCAGACCAGCCTGGACAACATGGGGAAACCTCTACTAAAAATACAAAAAATTAGCCATGCATGGTGGCGCACACCTGTAGTCGCAGCTACTCAGGTGGCTGCGATGAGATGAGATAAGCACCTAAGCCCAAGAAGTTGAGGCTGCAATGAGCCATGATCGTGCCACTCCACTCCACCCTGGGTGACAGGAGTGAGGCTCTGTCTCAAAAATAAATAAATACCGAGATATATATGTAAAATAAACTACCTTAGGTATTCACATTATTGATTATATTTTCTCAATAGAATGATTATATATTCCTCTTTATAACCATCTGCCAGAAGAGCTTCAACATCTATCGCATTTCAGAATGAATTTTTTTTTTTTTTTTTTTTTTTTTTGAGACGGAGTCTAACTCTGTCGCCCAGGCTGGAGTGCAGTGGTGCGATCTCAGCTCACCGCAACCTCCGCCTCCCAGGTTCACACCATTCTCCTGCCTCAGCCTCTCAAGTAGCTGGGACTACAGGTGCCCACCACCACACCCGGCTAATTTTTTGTATTTTTAGTACAGATGGGCTTTCACTGTGTTAGCCAGGATGGTCTTGATCTCCTGACCTTGTGATCTGCCCTCCTCAGCCTCCCACAGTGCTTGGATTACAGGTGTGAGCCACTGCGCCCGGCCCAGAATAAATTTTTAAATTTACATTGATTTTCTATTTCACATAACCAAAAAATTAGCACAGTCAGATTTTATTATAACCAATTTATACTAAATTTCAAAGCAGAAATAAGCTTCACAAGGTCCAAATACAGTTCACATTACATCAAAACTACAGTTAAAAACTAAAAGCAATTATATTTGTCAACCAATAAGTAGCATAAAAATTACTTAGAATTAATTCAAAGTAGGTCTGCATTCAACACAACTACGATTGAAAGAAATTAAAGGAAGACCTAAATTAGTACAAATACATCCTGTGTTCATGGAGGAAAACTTAATATTGTTAAAATGGCAGTACTTTCTAAGTTGATCTACATATTCAATGCGACTGTGATTAAAATCCCAGCTGGCTCCTTTGCAGAAACTGACAAGCTGATCTTAAAATTCATATGGAAATGCAAGTGACCCGGAACAGCCAAACCCACCTTAAAAAACTTTCTGGAGGATTCATACTTTCTGATTTCAAAGCTTACTAAACAGCTACAGTAATCAAGAGTGTGCTACTGGTATAAGGACAGATGAACAGAGAAAAGAATAGAATCCAGAAATAAACTTTCACATATACAGTCAATTGATCTTCAATAAGCGTTCCAAGACAATTCAATGGGGAAAGAATAAGCTTTTCAACAGATAGTTCTGAGATAACTGGATGTCTAGGTGCAAAACAATGAAGCTATACCCCCCTACTTCATGCCGCATGCAAAAATTAATTCAAATGGATAAAAGAGCTCAATATAAGAGATATTGATAAACTATAAAACTCATAGAAAAAAACATAGGCAGAAACCTTTGTGACCTTGGAGTAGCAACGTTTTTTTAGATATTACACCAAAAGCACAAGGAGCAAAAAAACACAAATGAAAAAAGATAAATTGGACTATATCAAAATTTAAAATCTTTCTGCTTCAAAGGACACCATCAAGAAAGAAAAAAGACAATCCAGAAAAAGGAAGAAAGTTGTTATAACTCCTATCTAGAATATGTAAAAAATTCTTACAGCTAAATAATAAAGAGATACATAACCCAATTAAAAATAAGTTAAATTTTGGAATAAGTATTTCCCCAAAAAAACAGACAAATGGCCAATAAACACATGAAAAGATACTCAACATCATTTGCCATCAGGTAAATGCAAATCAAAACCACTAAGACATAGAAATTCACACCTACTAGCTGGGCGCAGTGGCTCACACATGTAATCCAAATACTTTGGGAGGCGGAGACAGGTGGATCATTTCAGGTCAGGAGTTCGAGACCAGCCTGGCCAACATGGTGAAACCCTGTCTCTACTAAAAATACAAAAATTAGCCAGCTGGTAGTGGTGCATGCCTATAATCCCAGCTACTCGGAAGGCTGAGGCAGAAGAATTGCTTGAGCCTGGGAGATGGAGGTTGCAGTGAGCCAAGATCATGCCACTGCACTCCAGACTGGGCGACAGAGTCAGACCCTGTCTCAATCAATCACTCAATCAATGGAATTTCACACCTGCTAGATGCGAAATAGGATGGCGATCATGAGAAAGACAGGCAATGCAAAACTATTCACAATAGCCAATAGGTGGATGCAACCCAAGTATTCATCAACAGAGGAAAAGATAAAAAGGCATATTAAATACATACAAGGGAATATTATTCAGCCTTAAAAACAAATGAAATTCTGGCACATGCTACAACATGGATGAACGTTAAAGACATTATGCTAAGTGAAATAAGCCAGGCACAAAAGGACAACTACTATATGAGACCACTTATGCCAGCAGTCCCCAAACTTTTTGGCATCAGGAGCCAGTTTTGCAGAAGACAATTTTTCCACAGACAAGGTTGGGGGAGATGATTTTGGGATGATTCAAGGACATTACATTTATTGTGCATTTTATTTCTATTATTATTACATTGTAACATATAATGAAATAATTGTACAACTCACTATAATATAGAATCAGGGCTGGGCACGGTGGCTCACGCCTGTAATCCCAGCACTTTGGGAGGCCAAGGTGGCCAGATCATGAGGTCAGGAGATCGAGACCATCCTGGCTAACACGGTGAAACCCCGTCTCTACTAAAAAATACAAAAAATTGTTGGGGCGTGGTGGCTGGCACCTGTAGTCCCAGCTACTCAGGAGGCTGAGGCAGGAGAATGGCGTGAACCTGGGAGGCGGAGCTTGCAGTGAGCCCAGATTGCACCACTGCACTCCAGCCTGGGTAACAGAGCGAGACTCCCTCTCAAAAAAAAAAAATAAAAAATAAATAAATAAATAAATAAATAAATAAAAAATAAAAAAACTACAAATGATAAGCAACATAGAATAGATATGTAAGGAAAGGCTTTAAAAAGGAAAATAAGATCAATATAAACTAAGAAAAAATTATTACAGAACAAAGAGATTCTAGGGAGAAGACAAAAGAGTATCAAAATCACTTCGTAAAGATACTTGTGAATATATTACATGTATAAAACAAAACAGAGGGCGGGCGCGGTGGCTGACGCCTGTAATCCCAGCACTTTGGGAGGCTGAGGCGGGTGGATCATGAGGTCAGGAGATCAAGACCATGCTGGCTAACATGGTGAAACCGCGTCTCTACTAAAAAATCCGTCTCTACTAAAAACACAAAAGTTAGCCAGGCGTGGTGGCGGGCGCCTGTAATCTCAGCTACTCGGGAGGCTGACGCAGGAGAATCGCTTTAACCAGTGGACTGTCAAGAGAGGTAGGCTGCAGTAAGCCGAGATCGCGCCACTGCACTCCAGCCTGGGCGACAGAGTGAGTGAGACTCTGTCTCAACAAAAAGAAAAAAAGAAAGAAAACTTTTTTTTGAGAGAGAGAGAGAGAGAAGTCTCGCTCTTCTCCCCCAGGTTTGAGTGCAATGGCTCGATCTCAGCTCACTGTAACCTCCGCCTCCCGGGTTCAAACGATTCTCCTGCCTCTGCCTCCCAAATAGCTGGGATTAAGTCGCCTGCCAACACGACCGGCTAATTTTTCTATTTTTTAGTAGAGATGGGTTTCACCATGTTGGCCAGGCTGGTCTCCAACTCATGACCTCAAGTGATCAGCCCGGTTGGCCTCCCAAAATGCTGGGATTACAGGCGTGAGCCACTACGCCCGGCCAAAAAACCGAAAATCTTAAAGGCCTTTCCCCTTCCCCGCCTGGGCTCCAACAACGCGGGAGCCGCCCTGCCCCGCCCTGTCGCGGTCCCTAGAGCAGGTGGGCTGACTGAGGGCGACCATGGGTCCCAAGAGAGCTCCCGCAGCCGCGGGCTCCCACCTCGAGGCGCAGCGACAGGGGCCGAGAGGGGCCAGCAGCCCCCAAGCCAGCCCCGCGCTAGGAGTTGGAGAGACGCGCCCTCCGCCTTCTCCCACCCAAGCCTCTGCCTTGCCGGGCGGGCCAGTTGCGGGAGAAAGGGGCGGGGAACCGCGGCCTCTCTGGGGCAGCTTCCCCTTTCTCCTGGGACTCTGGGCACCCGCTTTCCGCCCTCGCCCTGCCCCGCCAGGCCGCCACCCGGCGACTCACCTTAATGTTGCGGTGGGGCGTGAGCCGCGGCTGTGGCTCCTGGTTCTCCTGGAAGATAGAGGCCAGTAACTTCGGTTTGCCCTTGAACCCGGACATGGACATCTTCCCCTCACCTCCGGCGGGAGGGGCGCGGAAAAGGAGCCAGTCCCGAGCCGCTGTCATGGCCGCGACCACCAGGCGGGGCCCCCGGCCGAGCTCTCGCGGCTCCACCTCTCCCCGCCGCCGTGACCCTCGTGGGAGCGCGGCTGGAAAATGGCAAGGGGCACCGAGGACTTGGCGGGAGCTATGTGGCGGCCTGCGGGGCTGCTCCCTTTATAACCGACTCCACCGACAGGAGGCGCGGCTCCCGTCAAGCCGCAGTTTAAAAGGGCAACAGCACCACTGCCCCCGCTACCGCCTGGGAAAGGGCTGCCCCTACCCCGCCCCGGTCCTCGTCGCCCCTCACCTCTTACCCCTCACCCCTCACCCCTCAACCCGGCGCGCCCCGCGCGCACCCGGCGTGCCCGCGCTACCGGCTGCCCCCTCCTCTCTTGACCCAGCACCTTTCTGCCCGACCGATCTGGTCCCTTCCTCACACTCGCGACTGGGCGGCACAACTACCAACTCTGTGTGTGTGTGTGTGTGTGTGTGTGTGTGTGTGTGTGTGTGTGTGTCTATGTGTGTGTGTGTGTGTCCCTGTCCCAAGGGGGCGTGGCTCACGCCTGTAATCCCACCACTTTGGGAGGCTAAGGCGGGTGGATCAGGAGGTCAGGAGATAAGACTATCCTGGCTAACACGGTAAAACCCCGTCTCTACGGAAAAAATACAAAAAATTAGCAGGGCGTGGTGGCGGACGCCTGTAGTCCCAGCTACTTGGGAGGCTGAGGGAGGAGAATGGCGTGAAACCGGGAGGCAGAGCTTGCAGTGAGCTGAGAGCGCGCCACTGCACTCCAGCCTGGGCGACAGACCAAGACTCCATATAAAAAAAGAAAAGAAAAAAAACCTCAAAGGATCACTAGTGGTCAGCAACTGTGTGCAAATAAATAGGAAAACCTACCAAAAATGGATAAATTTCCAGACACATCTAACCTACCAAGATTGAACCATGATGAAACCCAAAACCTGAACAAACCAATAACAAATAATGGGATCAAAGTGGTAATAAAAAGTCTCCCAGCAAAGAAAAGCCTGGGACCTGATGATTCACTGCTGAATTCTAGCAAACATTTAAAGAAGAACTAATACCAACCTTACCCAAACGATTCCAAAAATAGAGAAGGAGGGAATACTTGCAAACTCATTCTACAGGGCTAGCATTACCCTGATAACAAAATCAAACACACAGACCAAAAAAGAAAACTACAGGCCAATATCACTGATGAATATTGATGCAAAAATCCTCAATAAAATATTAGCTAACTGAATTCCACAACACATTAAAGTTGGGGTGCAGTGTCCCAGGTTCACTCAACCCTTCCCGTTTTCCTCTCTGTGTGTGTCTACTTTGCCGTGTTCCCTGGTGGCGGCGGCGGTGGCAGTGTTGGTGCATGGGCCTCCCAGGACAAGGGGAAAGTGAGTATGCCCCTTTCTTGCCCCCTGCCAGGCGTCTGCAGCCTGGCACAAGCTCTGGCCAGGTCTCCAACAGGGGACCTGGAGATGTTTTTTTCCAATTTCTGGATTGGTAACTTGAGGCAGATTCTGGGCACTAGAGTCAGAACTAAGAGGAGACTGAATCAGGGGAGTCTGGGGTCCTGAGAGGCAGATACCTGAAACCGTCTAGAGCGTGTGGGGAGCTCGGTGCATGTTCACGCCAGTTGTTTTTCTCTGTGCCTCAATGTTCCAGGTACCCTTGGAGGTGCTGAGATCCTAGGGATTCCTGGAGCCTGGCTGCATGGCCTGGCCACCCTGATGCCACTGTGTTCTCCATGACAGGACAGCAAGGCTGAGGAGAATGGCTCCGACAGCTTCATGCACTCCATGGACCCATAGCTGGAGCGGCAAATGGAAACCACCCAGAACCTTGTGGACTCCTACATGGCCATTGTCAACAAGACCGTGTGGGACCTCATGGTTGGTGTCATGCCCAAGACCATCATGCACGTCATGATCAACAACGTGCATGCACCGCCTCATAGGGGCAGGGGGCTCCTGTAGCACTGGGGATGCAGGTGGCCATGTTGGCCTGGGGGAGATGCTGACCAGCCCTATGGGACCAAGGTCCAGGGAGGGAGGCACAGTCCAGACCAGAGCTGTCTCATAGAAATATAACGTGGGACTGGGGACAGTGGCCCATGTCTGTAATCCCAGCACTTTGGGAGGCCAAGGCAAGAGGATAGCTTGAGCCCAGGAGTTCGAGACCAGCTTGGGCAACATAGTGAGACCTGATCTCTACACTAAAATTTTAAAAATAGCTGGGCTTGGTGGTGGCACGTACCTATAGTCCTAGCTACTCTACAGGCTGACATTGGAGGATCACTTTGAGCCCAAGAAGTTGAGGCTACAGTGAGTGGTGATCTCGCCCACTGTCCTCCAGCCTAGCGACAGAGCAAGATCCTATCTCCAAAAAACATTTTTAAGAAACTGAGTAGACCGGTGTCCTGGTGGCATGATAGGTCCTGGGTCCCCTCCCAGATGTGTGACCTTGGACAGGTGACTTTTCCTTTGGACCTCAGTGTCCCTATCTGAGTGAGAAAAGGGCGGTGGGGAGGCAGATCTTTGAGTCTAAGCGGTGTAGAAGCCGCGTCTGAAAAGCCATACTCAGGGCTCCAAGTCCAGCACACAGTCCCAGCAGGGCCCGGCAGGAGGCCAGGGCAGCAAAGGCATCAGGTCCCAACCTCCTTCCCTCTTTGCCCGCTCTCAGACCAAGGAGTTCATCTTCTCGGAGCTGCTGTCCAACCTGTACTCACGTGGGGACCAGAAAACGCTGATGGAAGAGTCGGCAGAGCAGGCACAGTGGCGCGACGAGATGCTGCGCATGTACCACGTGCTGAAGGAGGCACTCGGCATCATCGGCGACATCAACACGACCACCATCAGCACGCACATGGGGGCCCGTGGACAACTCCTGCCTGCAGGTGCAGAGCGTCCTTGCCGGATGCAGGTACCAAGGCTGGCTCCCACGGCCCCAAAGCCCCCCAGCCCCCATGGCTGAGCCTGGGGACTCTTGGAACAGGCTCCGTGCCCACGCTGGTAGACATGGGTGCTCCCTGGAGCCGTCACAGAGCTCGTGGTTTATGGTGTAAGGGCTGAGAGCTTAGAGGGGGTGGTGTGTGGGGCTGTACTCTGAGGCGGCCAGAGTCCTAGGATAGTCCTCCTGTGCACACCGCACCTGTTGGGCAGTCTGAGTCATGCTGCCAGGGCAGGGCATCCAGCTCCCAGCCTGGGAGTGCTGAGAGCCAAATCCACTGCAGAGCAGGGGTGATAGTCAGAGTCCCACCTCCTCTATCTGTCGGCAATGCAGTGGTGAGATAGGATAAAACCTTGAGAGTCCCATACACACGGTCAACCCACAACACACCTCACAGGCCAGGCAGGAAACACAGGCCCCTTCCCTCCCTCCCAGGTACCATCATAGCTGCTAGCGTGTGACTGAAGGCAGGGTCCCTGGCCCCCGCTGAAGCACTATTGCTGGCCAGCAGGCTCACGCACCTTGGAGTGTTGCTCCTAGAGGTCACCTCTGCTATTCAGCCAAGGGGACCACAGTGCCTGCTGGCCCAGCTGACCTCCGCCCCACAAGCCCACCCACCTCCCCTGCCATAGACTCTCCCTCTTCTGCTTTTCCCAGCAGGAAGGGCCCAGCCTCACCTATCCGACCTGCAACCCCCAACAAGCTGAGGCTCCCCTCTTAGACTTATAAGTCTATAGCCAGTGGCATCCAGCTGCATGCCCTCCTTTCCTCCCCCAGGGACCCTTCAAGGGTTCCTGGGCTTTCTGACCCCCCAGAGGGGGCTCCGGCGATCACTCCACCCATCCATCCCTTTTAGCTTCATCATCCTGGTTCAAGCAGTGTTTCTTCTCTATCAGGCCTGGTGGCTGTTGTTTTGGGCTCCCCAAGGCGAGAGGTGGCCCTGGACAAGTGGGTTGGAAGACACGGTGCCCAGAGAAGAGGGAAGCCCAAAGGGGCTGAGCATCAGTCTTAACAGTGGGTGCACTGGGTGCCGTGGAAGAGGCCAGCACGTGTGGGGTGGGGAGGGCTGCCACAGCCCCCAGGCACTACCTGTGAAACTCCGGCTCCTCCCTCTGTCTTCCTCCCCTTTCCCTTCCAGCCCCTCTTTTCCAGGAACCTTGCCACACCCGCACGTGCACCCTTTACTCCTTGGCCCTCCCACAGCTGCTGTGGCACACCTGTGCTCTGCACTTGCCTCACCAGCTCTCTGCTCGCTTTTTTTTTATTATTATTATTATACTTTAAGTTTTAGGGTACATGTGACAATGTGCAGGTTAGTTACATATGTATACATGTGCCATGCTGGTGCGCTGCACCCACTAAATCGTCATCTAGCATTGGGTATATCTCCCAATGCTATCCCTCCCCCCTCCCCCCACCCCACAACAGTCCCCAGAGTGTGATGTTCCCCTTCCTGTGTCCATGTGTTCTCATTGTTCAATTCCCACCTATGAGTGAGAATATGCGGTGTTTGGTTTTTTGTTCTTGCGATAGTTAACTGAGAATGATGATTTCCAATTTCATCCATGTCCCTGCAAAGGACATGAACTCATCATTTTTTATGGCTGCATAGTATTCCATGGTGTATATGTGCCACATTTTCTTAATCCAGTCTATCATTGTTGGACATTTGGGTTGGTTCCAAGTCTTTGCTATTGTGAATAATGCCGCAATAAACATACGTGTGCATGTGTCTTTATAGCAGCATGATTTATAGTCCTTTGGGTACATACCCAGTAATGGGATGGCTGGGTCAAATGGTATTTCTAGTTCTAGATCCCTGAGGAATCGCCACACTGACTTCCACAATGGTTGAACTAGTTTACAGTCCCACCAACAGTGTAAAAGTGTTCCTATTTCTCCACATCCTCTCCAGCACCTGTTGTTTCCTGACTTTTTAATGATTGCCATTCTAACTGGTGTGAGATGATATGCTCGCTTTTCTCTCTCCTGTCTTCTCTCTGCTTTCTCTCCAACTGCCAGCCAATCGGCTCAGGCAAGTCCATCCCATCCTGAGAGCCCCAGGCCCCCCTTTGACCTCTAAACAGATTCCTCCTCTTCTCAGAGACTTCCCTTTCCAAGCCTGCCTGGGCGGCTGTTCTGTGACTTGGCAGTGGCTCCCCCAGCCCCAAAGGCAGCCCCCTTCATCTGTGACTTCGTCTATTGTTGCGGTGAGCTGACACATCCAGGTGTGACCGTTGCTGAAAACTTGTGCCCCCCTCTGTGGTATGCCCCTGCCCTGTTCTAGAAATATCTACAAATACCCATATACATACACACACACACACACACACACACACACACACACACACACCTACATGTGGCCAACCGCCTCGCCTCTAGCGCTGGGAATCAGTCACCGTGCTGTCCTTTTGGAGTCTTGTGGCCAAACAAGAGAAAGCTAACCCCTGACATTGCCCCTCCAAAGTGCGCTACCTTCAGTGAGCCTCCCTGTCACGCCCAGCCTATGGAGAGACACACCCCGCCATCCCTCCCGCCCCCCCCCCCCCCACCAAGCATGGGAGTGCTGTGCAGGCAGCTGTGTGGCCTGACAGTCTCTACCAGTCCTGCTGTCCCTTGGCTGAGAATCAAACCCGCTTCTGGATGGCGGGGAAGTGTGTCCTCTGCTGGCTGTGTTCTCTGTGGAGCTCAGGGGAGGGGAAAGGCCAAGCCATTTCTAGGGTGCTGTTGGGAGCAGTGAAAAGGCCATGCCCTTTCCAAGGGACACTTTTCCTGGAAAGCCCCTGGAGCTTAGCGGGCTCTTATCCTGTGAAGCCGGCTCTGGCCACCAGGGGGCAGGGCCATGAACTCAGCCCAGAGGGAGCCTGCAGGGCAGCCGGCACTCTGGAGGCACAGACAGAACAGGCCACCAGGTGCAGACAGGAGAGGGAGACAAGGGGATAGAACGGAAGATGCCGGGGCTGGGTGGAAGTCAGTGCCCTTAGGTGCTGGTACCTGTCTTCCCGGCCACCGCTAGATCAGGCTTCTGAGCCTGTTGGCTGTCAGGGCCAGACTGCGCCCCATAGACTACATGGCAGTCCCCTTGGAATCCCCCAGGCGCCACCAGGCAGCATACAGGTAACACGCCTGGAAGGTCCCCAACAGCCTAGCTGGACATGCTCAAGACACTCTGGGACTCCTTGTTTGGTGGCACAAACTCCAGGACCCAGTGAGGGAAACGGAAACACACCAGGCCGAGCAGTATGGCTAAATCCATTTATTCCAAAATAAAAAGCAAAATAAACAGGAGTCGCATCACCAGGGAGCCATGACCCCATCCCCGCCTCCTTCCTCTGTCCTATGCTAGCAATAAATAAGTTTCCCAGCCACAAATAATTATTACAACCTCCTCCCCATGTGCCGGCTCCAACCTCAGCTAGGTATGACACAGGGGTGGCCCTACCCTCTGGAATATACAAAACCTTACACAGACACAATGTGTACACCGGGGAACGGGGGCCACCCCAGCAGCCCGTGCCCTCGCCTGGTCCACAGTTAGCCCCACTGTCCTGCCTCTCTGAATAAGAAGGGAGCCCCCCTGAGGGAAAAGTTGCTATGGTGAGAGTAAGGGGGACATCAGGCCTCCTCCAAACAAACCAACTCCACCAGCCTCTGGCTCTTAAATAACAATCATCATCATCCAGAAATTTAGGGACTCAGCCCTGGTCAGGGTGGCAAAGGGTCTGTTTGTCTTTCCCCATTAGACAGAGGTCTTGTCCTGCTACCCTAATTGTAAAGGGGTGCCTGGGAAGGGGTGGTAGGGACATGGTGGCGGTGGAGACCCCAGCCCCACTTCTCCAGGCTTTGCTGACAGGGGCCTGCTTTTAATTTTTATTTTTATTCCATGACTTTTTAAAAAAGAATCCCGTAACTTCTTTTTCATAACTTTTTTGGTAACTTTTCATAATACTGTTTTCTACTTTGTTCCCACAAGTTTTTTTGCCACAACGTTTTTACATTTTTTATCCCATAACTTTTTCACCCCATAACTTTTTTAATCCCATAACTTTTAAAATCTTGTGTTCTTTTAAGAAACACTTGCATAGTTATATTACAACTTTGTAAAAATGAAACACATTATCTCATGCCAAGCATGCCCAGCATTTGCACAGTATCAATACCTTTAATACTATAGTTTTCAAGAAACGCAAAATAAAATTTTAAGACAAAAACAACACATTGAAACAACTTAATAATTTATTACATTACAGTGGCATCACACCAGCAGTCAATAAGGCCACTCTAGGGAAAAATCTTTCAGTATTTCCACGACACATTCTCTTTACAATAATTCATAAACTGGTAAAATTCATTCTAAGAAAACTTGGCAAATAAAACTTTGGACTGGAATTGGCATTTCTTTCTCTGCTTTTCGTTCCCACCATTTCTTTCTTTTATACTACAGTATTCATATTTTAAAATGTTTTAAATTATTTCAGAACATTAAGATAGCAGTTACATTTTTTAATAGTTATATTATTTTAAAATGACTCTTTAAAATAAAGTTTTAGAGAAACTATATTATGGATAGGGCTGATTTACATTTTCAAATTTTCTAAAATCAGCTTTGGTTTTAGAGCTGATTTTTTTTTTTCATTTCTGGAAAATTATCAGGTTGAATCAAATACTTTTAAAATGATTATTATATATTGCCATCTTTAAATAGGTGTTTTGATTCTTCCTACAGACATTAAAATGTATTCAGTGGAACTCACAGTTTAAAATTCTATGTTTCTGATGAACTCTAACATTCCAATGTTGCCTTCTAAGCAAACTGAAAGCTGCCTTATACTGAATGAGGAAGAGCACAAATACTCGGCTGAATGAGGTATCGCAAAAGACTGCATGCACTTTGGAGAAAGACTTGAGTTATTGTCATACAATTTCCATTCTTTTTAACTTTTTCTTAAATATATGACAAATACCTACACAAAGAGTGGTATTTCAGTCAATATAGTAAATTTATTTTCCAGACTGACCTTCAGCTTAAATATGCCAGTGTGTGATTTAATCCATAGGCACCTCATGAACACATTATTGTCAGATTGGTTACAGATGCTAAACGCTATCCGAAGGTCATTCCTAGTCACTGATATTTATCAGGGTAAAAGTGAAGTGATTTCAACGATAAAAGTACCTTTGCAATAATTTATCAATGTATTAGATAAACCCAGTTTCAGAATGATAAAAGAAAAAACGTTAGACCAAATAATGTGGCTGATTAACAGTGGTCCGATTTCTAGCCCGAGGGTTTAAAATGCTCTTAAAGTAACTGTCTTTAAACTGAACTCAAAGAATGCAAAAGCGGCAAGTTCAGAAAATAAAAGGCGAGAACAGGACTTTAAGTGCATTTTAAACCCACGGGCTACAAATCGTACCACTGTTAATTAGCTGCATTATTTGGTCTAAATTTTTTCTTTATCATTCTGAAACTGGGTTTATCTAATACATTGATACATTCATAAAATTTGGAAGAGTCAGTGGAAGTCACAAGGACCGAATATTTGCACTCTTTCAGTGAATGCCAGCAAATCTGTTATTCCATCGGTAAAATCGTATTGTTGCTCTCCTGTTAATGTCATATTTATAGAAGTATCATGAGGATGCCAAATGCTAAAAATGGAGATGATCTAGTAACTAGAAATCCCCACCGCAGGGAGCACACACACCTATCTCCCTGCATCCTAACAATGTGATGTGTTTTGGAACACAGACATTAGAACTTCATGAAGTTTTAACTGTTGAGTCTTTCCCAAGCATCATCAAGTTATGATTTAGGCAATATATAACTGAAATGTATTCATTCATCATGCATAGGCACAATCACATAAATATTGCACAAAATATGTCCCGAACAGAAACCCAGAGGTACAAAAACATATTTCACTTTGTAAAGAAGTCTGTGAGAAAATATAACTCTGTGATTGTATAGACACGTTTCCTGATAATACATTGACATTCACGAACAGTAGATTGCACTGCAGTTTGTACACATTTTAAGTTTCATAAACTTCTCCTTGATTTTCAAAGAGAGTACAATACCGTCTACTAAAACTCCTTTTTGTTTCAACTAAGTATCTCACATATATTAGTTTATAATAATGTTTCTATTATTTTTTAAAGTGTTTTCCATTCAAAGAAAAAGAAGTAAATTCCTATGTCAGAGTAACCAAGGTGGTTGAAGAATAGGTATTAGCCAAAGAGGTCTAGATGGTAAAATCAATCTTCAAGCCTCAAAGAATCTCCGTGAACAGAGAGGAATGCCAGGTGTCACACAGCTTTCCTTCACTCTAATTCATTCTTGACTAGAGCCTGTATGCCTGTTCCAGGAACGTTTGAACTCATAAAGGATTTCTTATGATCTTCACTAAATACATTAAGAAGAATGCCAACCAGTGCCCTTTTGTGTACTGGGACATGTAGTCATGTGATTAAAACAGGTAACATGAACTCTGACTTTAAAATGTATTGTAGATACAAATGCTCTAAGCTAGGAAAGGTTTCCCACATCCACAGTCAATGATGGGAACCTTTCATTCCTCAGAAATAAGCCCTTTTTAGGTCATCGAAAAAGAGTACAACTGCTGCAGCTCATGATGCAGTATCTTCATGAGCCCAGAGCACATACAAATCCTAAGGGAACCACCATAATACACTGCTAATTCCGGGCACCGGAACAGATGAAACACACTCTATCCTGCACGTACCTGCCAGAGGAGGCCACTTTCCTCTTCTGTGAGATTTAAAAAGCTCCCCCAAAAGGTTATCACTCCCATCACCAACACACAGAAAATGGAGGAAAGGCTGTTTCCAGTTCTTGGCCTTTAAACAACTCTAAATGTCAGTACTCATAGTGGCATATTACAAAGTAATAAACAGTGCACACTTGGGGGCAAACTACATATTGAGCTAATGAAGAGCTCACTGTGATTAAGATTAGATCAAACAACAGCAGAACATAGGCAAATTTTGTCTGAATTCTGTAGTGAATATACATGCTGCAATAACATTAAAAAAGCATGGCAGCCTATTCCAAACCAAAGAGAACAGTTTTGGGCAAAGAGTGGGTCTTTGTGTGTTTGAACTCCCACCACGTAAGGGCAAACTCGATATGCACGCTAATGACCTACAATTATGAAATTAAAAAAGAAAAATGCTAAAGGATGCCAGAGTGAACATCAGTGAGAGCCACAGACACCCACTCTCTTTTAACTTTTTACAAATAAACTTAAAACTATAAATTAGAAACACAAATAATCATGAGTGAGTCTAACATTCAAAGGAAGTAAATGAATTGTGTAGGAGATTAACCCCATAACTTGGTTTCTTATTTAAAAATTTCTTGAGCAGCTCTTTGAGGATGGTGATGTTTATCTCCTTCTTCTTGGCAGCCAAGCCCAGCACAAGAATGGCACACAGCAGTTGCTGCCCAAGCCTGGGTGCTCCTGGTGGTCCTGCACGATCGGCTGTGCAGTAGGCTTGTCAAGGAGAGGATCCTCCCTGGCCTCTCCTTGGGCAGAGGAGGTGAGGCTCACCTCACGAAGATCTTTGGAGAGAGGGAGGCAGGGATCTGAGCACAGTGGGAGCCCCCTCTTCCTGCCTGCCCACCCCACCTGAGGGCTCTACTCACCACCATGCTTGTCTGCAGCCCCAAGCTCCTGGGGAGCTGGGGCTCCTGGACCGGGCTCATCAGCAGGGTTGTGGGCAGCGGCCAGGAATTTTCTGTGCCCATTGTTGTAGTTGCTGTAAGCCGCAATACCATCTGCTGCAGCTCCAGCAGCTTCACCTGGAGGGAGGGGTGCTCAGCTGCCATGCCGCTGCCTGCGCCCACCCTCACACCCACCCCCACCCCCACCCCCACAGAGATGTTGCACACCCTACCTTCATCTCCTCCCTGAGCTCCAGCCTGATGGTGTCCTCCTCCCAGTGCCGCATCTTTGGCACAGCCCCCTGGTTCTGATAAAAGGTGATGGGTTTTCCTGCGGGAGGACAGGGCTCAGACGCTGGGGCCCCTCCGACGGCCCTGTAGCTCCCCCTGCCGTGCCCTGGCCTCCCACTCACTGATGGCGTCTGTCTCGCCAGTGGTGGATGAAGCAGAGTTCTTTTTTTCACCAGCTCACTCAGGTCTGCCTTCTCCTTCAGGTGGTCCATAAAGCTGCTCTGGAGCCAAAATATTGCAGTCACATCTCGGCAGCGACCTGCCCTCAGGTGGCATTTTCAAGTCATGGAGAAGGTGGAGGTGAGTCCTGGCATGGGCCAGCTTCTCCGTGACTTCCTGCAGGGCCCAGTGGGTCTCCCTACTCACAGACTCGCCCCCAGGCCCTGGGGCTCCAGGGCCTCTGGCTGCCTCTGGCTCCTTCTGGGCTGAGGCCACCGGGTGAGCCAGGCGCTGGCAGCACACCCTCTGCTCTTTCACCTGCTCTTGTAACTGTGCCTGCTTCTCCTGGGCACTAGCTCCAGCGGACTTGAAAAATGCCACCTGAGGGCAAGATGTGAGCATTCTTCTAGGGGCATACACAGAAGAAATGGGGCAGAGAGGTGGAGCGCAACCCCTTCCCTTGGGGCCTCAGAGAGTGCACCTGTTGGCCACAGGTGAAATGGTGTCTGACCACTGGCTCTCGGAAGGGGTGAGGGTCCAGAGAAATCAGAAGGCAGGGAAACGAAGAGCATAAAGGGGTCTTGGAGGGACCACAGAGAAAGGTGGCAAAATGGGTGCAGGGGGAGTCAGGCTCACCATGGCCTCCCTGCTCTCCAGGTCCTCTGGGACACTCGGCATGGGCTGAGGTGCCTCCTCCCCCTCACTGTCCAGATGTTCTCCTCCGTGTCCTGTGGGGGGTGGCCAGACGGGTCTTCAGACAACCCAACAAGGGAGGTACTGTGGGCCCACCTCTACCTCCACCCTCACTGTGTAACCCTGAGCCAGCCCCTCCCCAGAGAGGAATGAGCTGTTGTTCTTTATTTTTACTTTTAAGAATCAAGATCTTGCTATTCCGCCCAGGCACACTCCCACTACTGGTCGATGTGGGAGTTCTGACCTGCTCCCTTTCTGACCTTGGCCAGTTCAGCCATCCTTAGGCAACTTGGTGACCCCCCGCTCACAGGAGGTCACCACACTGATGCCGAACTTAGTGCAGGCACCCGGTCGGCATAATGACCAGCTGTTCTAAAGGTCTCTTCCAACTCCTCAATCCTATGCTGCTAGCAGTCCCCCCTTCCTCCTGGGGCTCTCTCCTCTTCCTCTGAGCAGTCTCCCGTACCTTCCCCAGGGAGAGCCATGAGGCTCAGCTGGGCCGTTAGCTGCTGGTTCTGCTGGCTGGCAGCTTCCAGGTGCTCCTAAGGGGCCAGGACAGAGTGAGAAGGGGTGGAGTTTGCCAGGTCATCCCCCTCACAGCCCCATCCTCGGCAGCTCCCTCCCCTGGGTCTCCTGCAACTTTTGGCAGGCCATCTCAGCCACCGCTTTGCCCCAAGCTTCCTGCTGCTGCAGCTGGTTCATTAGCTGGGTCTGCTGCAGTCACTGCCTGTACAGCGCCTCCTTCTCACAGTCAGGCTGATAGCCAGCTGCTGATAGGTGGCCACGTACTGCTGCAGGTGACCCAGGTAATGGTCTGGCTGCTGCTGCAGACTCTGAGCCTCTTGGCTCTTCAGCTCCACCTGCAGGAAGACCCTGGGTGTGAGGGCACGTGGTGGCTGGTTTCCAGATTCTGGGCCCATTAATAGGGTAGCGAGGGCACTGTGGGGCTCTGTCAGCTGCCCAGGCCCCTGTCCCCTTACTCCAGGCCTAAGTGACTGCCTCCCTTTCCTAGAACCCCATGCCTCCTTCCCCAGCCTCAAATCTCATACCCTCTTCTCATTTAATCCTCAGCACCTCTGTAAGGAAAATGCTAACTTCCCTTTGAAGTTAAAGAAACAGAGACTTAGAGATGCAAAGTACTTGAATGGTGACCAGTGCAACCGAGGCTGGAATCCAGTTTCAATCTAAGGAGTCTTTTTGTTTTGTTTTCAGACAAGAGTGTCACTCTGTGGCCCAGGCTGGAGTGCAGTGGTGCAATCTCAGCTCACTGCAACCTCCACCTCCTGGGTTGAAGCAATTCTCGTGCCTCAGCCTCCCGAGTAGGTGGAATTACAGGCATGCGCCACAATGTCCTGCTAATTTTTTTTTTTTTTTTTTTGTAATTTTAGTAGAGATGAGGTTTTACCACATTGGCCAGGCTGATCCCAAACTCCCGACCTCAAGTGATTCTCCTGCCTCAGCCTCCCAAAGTGCTGGGATTATAGGCATGAGCCACTGCACCTGGCATAAGGAGCCTGTTATACCACTGTCTCTTCCCCTGTGATTGGGGGCTCCATGCCTCTAGCTAGGATGATGATGTCCAGACCTGAGAGGATCCCAGGGCTACCCACCTTTAAAAGTCAGAGGCAGGAAGCAAGAAACAGGACTGCCCTGGGGGGTGCTGTGGTCACCAGCCCCCAGGCTGGAAGCTGCCTCTGGCCTCGTACCTCCCCTCCCCAGAGTCTGCTGCCCGCCTCCCAGCCCTTCTTGGATGGGGTGGAGGTTTCCGTCTCCTTCACCTCGCCAAGCTTCTCCTGTAGCTCCTTTACTTGCTGCTCCAACTGCAGTGCGTTCTTGTTCTCATTGTTCTGGACAGAGAGAAGCAATCAGCAGCCACCCACTGCAGCTGGAGACCCCAGAACTTGGTGTCTGCCTCCCATGGCACTGGGAAGGCTGGAGGCAGGTTAGAAAAATCACTCCCTCTCTCCCACAGCCACCTGGCTCACAGGTGCCTTTAGAAGTAACATTTCATGTGAGGGCTACACTGCCCCATTTTAGAGGTGGGGAAACAAAGGCCCGGAGGGCTAGGGAGGAGGGCAAGCTCCCCAGTTTGGGCAACGCACCGGCTCCTCGAAGACGCTCTGTGGCTTGGCCAGCTGCTGAAGGCTCTTGTGCTGCTCCTGAATCCTCTCCTCCTGCTTCCGAAGCCTCTCTTCCTGCTCCTGAATCCTCTCTTCTTGTCGCTGGTTCAGGAGACTTATGCGCTGATTCTTTTTGACCTGGGCCTGGAGCTCTCCTGCCACTCTCTCTAGTTCCTTCCTCAGGTGCTGCAGCTCCACCTCAGAGGGCACTGCTGGGGGCTCCGGGGGCAAGGGTTCAGCTGACAAAGGAAGCAGATAATAAGGGCCTCTGGATTCTCGGAAAAGAAAAACCCTCCTCTTGGCGCACAGCTCCTCTCAGGCTCCTCAAACTTGGCCTCACTGCTAATGATTCCTCGCACCCAGATGGTAGCCAGTCTTCCAAAGCACTTTCAGAGAAAGAGCACTGCGGGTGGCTGACAACGGGCCCTCTTTCCTGATGGGGACACTGAGACACTGAGACTCATTGAGATGACAAGACTCGCCGTCTCCTGGCACAGATCTCTTTCCCTCTGCCTCAAAGCCCTTCCATCCACCCACCTCCCTGGGGCACTCTAAGCCACCCTCACAGCCCTCTGATGCCAGTCCTGCTCCTAGGTCATGCCAGCCCCATCTTACCCATCTGGTTTTTGAGTTTGGACAAGCTCCTCTCCAGCTCCTCTACCCGACGCATATCTTGCTGCTTCTCTTTCTTTAATGTGCAAATCTGCCCAAAGCACAAGGGGAAAGGGCCTTGGAGAGAGGGGCTGGTGGCTGGACAGGCTGCCCTCTCCCTCTCTGCCCCCACCTCCACAAAGCCCAGACCCATGACCACCTCTGGCTCTACTATTCCCATTTTACAGATGACCAGAAAGATCCAGTGACCTATCTAATGTGGGGGGGCTGAAGGGTCAGATCTCACCTCCTGCGACATTTTTCTCATCCTCTGCTGCCACCGGGCCCTCTCTCCTTTTAGATGTTCAGAATACTCATCTCTTTCTAATTGGACTTGTTGAAATGACTCCTTCAACTGCAAGAATGGGCACAGAACTTAGGAAGGGCTGTCACTGGTCCTCACCTGCTCCTGGCCACCTGGGGTCATCTTCCTTCCACATAACTCCCTCAGAAAACCTCACCTGTGTCAGCTGCACTTTCAGTAGTGCCTCCTCCCGCATGGACTGCTCTAACTTCCACTCCGTACGTGCTTTGCTGCGGCTGGACAACTGGATGGTGAAGAGTGAGAAGTTTCAATCTGGAGAGCCTGGGCATTTCCACACAGTGCCCCTTAAAAGGGCTAGGGCTAGGCCCAATATACAACTCGGTCAGTAAAGATCAAGGCATTTCCAAGCCCGTGGTCTGGTTTTTAAAAGAACTCAGTAAAGTTGGAACGGACAGGGAATGAGACTGAGTTTATAGCTGGCTAACAGAGGCCCAGAGAGATCAGATAATATTGCTATTGTTATTACTGTTATTATTACCACTGTTTGAACCTTTGTGGAATGCTTCACCAGGTACCGTGCTAACAATCCCATTTAATCCTCGCAACCACCATAGGAGACAGTTACTATGATTCCCTCTATTGTGGAGATGAAAAAACATGGAGTATTTGAGGTTAAGTGCTTGCCTAAGTTCACTTAGGCAGAGCTGGGATATAAACACCCAGGTCTATCCAATTCTCTAAGCCCGTTTTTCTTGCTGGGGATGGGGGCACAGATAGGAAGGGGAAAATTAATCTTTTGTTCACTTTTTGAAAGGATGATACATTTGCATAGTCCAAAACTCAGAAGGTACAGAAGGGAAGTATCTCCCGGCCATCTTGTTGCTCTCTCCTGAATTTTTTATGAACCCTTGCAGACATGTTTTATGTATATTATCACAGTATGCACACACACACACACACACACACACACACACACACGCACACACGTTTCCTCTTTCTACAGAAATGGTAACATACTAAAGGTACTCTTCTGTACCTTCACAGTACAAGTACCCAATACCCCACCTAGGACTAGGACTTGCCCAAGACCACAGACAGGTAAGGGCGGGGCAGGCACTTGGCCTCCAAGCTCTGCGTCCAGTGCTCACTCCACACAGTGACCCCCAACTCACCCACAGCAGCTGACTCAGCCCCAGGCTGCCATTAAAAACCATACAAAAAAGTAGCAAGAAATGGCCATGCTGCCTTCTGGGCAGGACACTCCATCCTGCAGAAGGGACCTTTAGGCTCACTCCTCCATCTGCAAAGCCAGGCTCCCAGGGGATGGGGCAGGTGGTTGGACTCACCTGGTTTGCCTTCTTCTTCTGTGTGGCCATGACATTAGAGAGAACACTCTCTAACTCTCCTTTACGCTGCAATGAATGTTGCAGGCGGACAGCCAGATCCTTGGACTTTTCTGTAATGAGAGAGTTGAGATGGGGCCCAAAGGACTCCCCCTGAAGACCTGTCAAAGTGCCAGGTTGAAGGATGACAGGGTGCCCAGATTCCCACCTTCAAAGTATCTGAGAGAACGTTTCATGTGGTACAGGTCCGTATTTAGTTCCTCTTTCTGTATGTTCAATGTCTGGATTTGAACCTTTGGGAGAAAAGCCAAGCAAGTGCTGAAAGAGAAGGAAAGAAACCTTCTCCGGAGGACAGGAGGAAACTGCACACCCTCCACTCACCTCTAGCACCCTTTTGGCTTTCTGTTTCTTGTTGTTTGCTTTCTTTTCCTGTAGGAAGAGGAAGACAGAGCTCTTACCAGGGGGAGGCAGAGATGGCACAGCAAGAGACATGCCCCCAGAATGCCACCAATGCCCCAGGACAGGCCCACCCATGGGACCAGGTTATCAGGGGCCCTGTGGGGATGGGGTGGAATCTGAAGGGTGAGCCTTCATCCCCAGGCTGGGAGTGGGTGAGACGAGACTGGGGCCTGTATGTCTGAGTGCCCCCCAAACCCAGCAGTCATGTTGCGAGGAAACGAAATCACGTTACTTCTTCCAGCTGATGTTCCACTTGTTTCTTCTGTTGTTTCTGTGGGGAGAGTCAAATAAGGTGATGGAGGGTGGCCCCCTCAACTCTATTCCCCAGACCAGGAAGCGGTAGGCAGGGGCCAGGAATGGATTTTAAAGGCAAAGTTCTCAGACATAATGGGAACACGAACCGGTAAACTCTCCTCAAGCTCCCAAGGACAGAGGATTTGGGTCTTTGTTGGCTTTTGCCCACAGCCACAGAACTCAAAGTCTGAATCTGGAATCTCTTGAGAGGACAGCAATATAAACCTCTAGAGATGGAGTTTCAGAAAGGCCCCTCCTTCTGGCAGCTTGTGATTTAGAGAAGTGGGTTCATTCAATAAACATTTACTGAGCATGTATGGGCCAGGTACGGTTCTTTACAGCAGATATAGGATGGAAAAGGACAGACAGGAGCCCTTAGCCCTGAGGTTTCCGTTCTAGGGGGCCTTTAAATCTCAGACTCGAGAGCTAACAGAGACCTTTGATACTCACTACCTCCTCTGGAAACACGAGCCCAAAAAGGAGAGGTGGCTTGTCCAGAATCAAAGAGCAAATTAGGGACTGAGTCATGGCAGAAATACGGGGCCCTTGACAACCAGTCAGGCTAGCACTTCCCCAAGAGGCAACAACCCCAGGGCGTGTGTAGCAAGGACTCGAGCAGGGGTGTCTGGAGAGGAGAGAGTCGGCAAAGAGGGCAGCAAAAGAAGAGCCATGCTGCATGCTCTGGGGTCCCTCCAGGTGAGGCCTGGGCACCCAAGCTCCCTATTTGTCCCAGGCACCAGGGACCCCCAGCCCCTTTCTTCAGGGCCCCAAGGGGAAACTGGAGCCCAGGATTGGCAGCGTGGAATCAGGGGACCCCAGTGGACTCTTACCAGAGATTTGATGGTGTTCTTCAGTTGACTGATTTCTACGGACCTTGAATCCAGGACTACTGCTCGTTCTTGGCACGGGCTCTGAGGTGCATGCAGAGAGGAGGAGGTGGAGCAGGAGTGGGGGGAGAGGTAGAGAGAACAATCATTAGGGCTGGGGTGTGTGGGCTGTCTCAGCTGGCAGAGGGGCACCCAGTCCCACCTGGAGGAGGAGGTTGGAGGGTTGACCCGAAGGGTCACTGCACCTCCGCCCAGAGCCTCTTACCTCCAGATCTTTCAGGGTAGCAGATGATGTAGGGCCTTCCCTGTGGAAACCTGTTGCTGACTACAAGAGATGAGAGTGCACATGGAGATGTTCTGTCCCCCACAGTGTCTGAGCCCTCTGACTTCCTTTCTTCCCCATCAACTGGCAACATTTTCTTTTCTGCCTATCTTGGACCTTTTGTCCCATAACTCCTTTGTGCCAACTTCTCTCATGGTTCTTATCTCCCCACCATCCCATCCTGGGGCCCCTTCAGTGACTCCTGATGGCAAGTGGCTGTTCTCATTGTCCTGGTTTCCCCCTGAGACTGGGGATGAGGAAAATCAAACCATATCCTGGGTGTCCTGAGTGTTTACAGCAGGCCATGTACTAGGGATTAACATAAAAACAACAATAACAAATCTCATTTAAACTTCACAAATGGAAGTGAAACAATAACACCTCTATTATACAGATGTGAAAAGAGAGGCCCGATGAGGTCTAGCAACTTGCCCTAAATCATATCCCTAGCAGAGCAGATGGAGAGGCAGGATTCAAACCCAGAATTCCTTTTTTTTTTTTTCTTTGAGACAGAGTCTTGCTCTGTCACCAGGCTGGAGTGCAGTGGCATAATCTTGGCTACTGCAAGCTCCACCTCCCAGGTTCACACCATTCTCTTGCCTCAGCCTTCTGAGTAGCTGGGACTACAGGCACACGCCACCACGCTTGGCTAATGTTTTGTATTTTTAGTAGAGACAGGGTTTCACCGTGTTAACCAGGATGGTCTCGATCTCCTGACCTCATGATCCGCCTGCCTTGGCCTCCCAAAGTGCTAGGATTACAGGCGTGGGCCACCACACCCGGCTAAAGCCAGAATTCTTAACCAGTACCCAGCAGTCCATCCACAATCTTAACAATTACCCTCTACTGCCCCTTGGGCCCCCTGTCCCCAGAAGCCTGGTCAGCCAAGACTCACATCCCTAGGTGGCTGGCAACCACCAGAAGTGGCTTTCTCAGGGATACTGCCATTTGTTTTCCTGTTCCTGTTCGCTCCTGCTGGAACTCTAGGGCTGTTTTTCTGCCAATATTCTTTTAACTGTTGGAAAGAAGAGCAGTAATACTCATGAGAACCGTCAGCCCCTACAGCCACATCCTCCTTTACAGTTTTTACAAAATACACTTACACACCATCTGATTTAATGACACCAACAACTGTACAAGGTGTTGTCACACTCATTTAGTGACTGAGAAGGATTGATATCATGGCTAGAAAAAAAAAAAGAAAAAGGCAATACTGGAACTTTGAAACTCAGTCTTCTGACTCCAAGCTCTGAGGTTTTGCCAAGAATCAGCAGCTGCCAGGGACCAAAACCAGAGGCAGAGGTAGAAAAGTAAACATTAAGTAGGCAGGAACTGTATGCCATGTGGTTTAGAGTCATACATCCTCACACGTCTGTTAGTGTGAAGAAGTGCACCAGTACCTCTCAAACTCTTATATCAATGTGTCCTCATGGCAGAAGGCAGCCTTTCTCTTAAATCAGAATTTATCAGAAAGAGGACAACCCAAGCCTCATTTCAGAGAGAGGTCTGGTATACTCTTAGAAACCTATGTGACTGTCATCCCTAAGTACATTCATGTTTTTTCTCTTGATCTCAAGAGAATCAAGGGAAACTGATGCTTCAGAAAGATGTCCCACATTTATCCTGTGGCACTCAAAGTACCCAAGGTTGAGATAATATGAGGAAGATTCAAGGTGTCAAGTTCAGTTTCCCAAGATCTATTCCACAGAAGATGAGCAAATGTCACTTCAGAGACCACTGACTGAAGGAGAGTCTGGTCCCAGAACCATGGAGAATTAGAATATGAGGTGGAGAACTCAGAAAAAAATGTTAAAATCTCTCTGGAAAGTAGAAGCCTGGGAGAAAACCAAACCAAACGCATTCTCTCATTGCCACCCAGAGATACTGTCAACGTTTTGAGTTCATGGGGGAAGTGTAGGCTTTTCCCACCGTCAACATCTGTAAGGGAGTGAGGCAGCCTGGAACCTCTTGCTCCTAGGTCCCATAGTCTCCATTCCCCTTCCAGCTGGAAATTTGTGCTGTGACCAGAGGAACCAGAAACGGGGTGAGAACGCTTAGGGGACTGGGTCGTAAGATCAAAGGCCAGTCTTGCAGTAACAGCAGTTACTAGGTGGACTGTGACATCACAACATTCCACTCCTCCTGGTCGGGGGGAGGGACCATGTCAGCACCATGTCCAAGTCGCTGCTCCACGATGGGGGAGGGAAGCACAGGGTTGGGACCCAGCTCCTTGGAGACGCCAGCACAAAGAACCCAGGGAGGTCGACCTTGAGGCAGCAGGAGGGGAGGGCACAGTCTGCAGCAGGGAGTCCCAGGAGTCACCAGTCCAAAGTCACCCAGGGATGACTGGCGAGGGTGGGGCCTGGCTCCTTGGAGATGAGAGCCCAAAGAGCCCAGGGAGATCAAGCTTGGGGCGGCAGGAGATGAGGGCCCAGTAATGGAGCGGGAAGCCCCAGGACTCACCCACCCAAAGTCACCCTGGGGTGATTGGCGAGGGCAAGGACTGGGCTGCTTGCTGAAGGGGTGGGGCTGACTGACAAAACTTTGGTGGGGGTAGCCCAGAGGCACCGGGGTAGGGGGGACCAGTCCAGTGTGCCTCAGGAGTCGTATAGACTCTGGCAGGGGTCTTGTCATCAGAGGGGATCTGTGGCTGGGTTGAGGGGCTATGACCTAGTGCGTTTTTACCTTTTTCTTGGCTGCAGCCAATTTGTTGTGTTGAGTTTCTTCTGCCATCGCAGGGTGGGGAGGGAGGCAGGGTTGGGGTCACAGCAGCAAAATCTCAATGAGAACCGATCAAGGCCTCCAGTCACCTACCAGGCAGCTGTGTGACTGAGCCAGAGGAGGCGTAACCAGGGCCCCAGTAGAATGCGGAATAGGGGCGTGGCCTTAATGCTCCAAGCCCATTGGTCAATGAGAAAGATGAAAAGGAAAGGGGGCGTGGCCAGAAAGCAGTGTGTCCAGAGGGACCTGTGGCTCACAAGGAAAGCTGCCCATGGCAACTGCTCTCCCCACCCACTCTAAGAGAGGGGAGAGGCCTCCCACTCTGGAAGAGAAGAGGGGCCGGCTTTTGCTTTAAAAGCTTTAAAACTTTAAAAAATATATGTGTGTATACTTTATATATATGTGTGTCCGTGTGTGTGTATCTATGTTTTTCTCCATAGCTGTCTTCATTATCCAGCTTCTATGCAAGGTCCATGATTTTGGCCTATATTTTTCATCTTTGATTACAGTACAAAAATTACCAGTATTACCTTAACTGAGATACAGATCCTATAAAAATGGAAAATGCATAGCATGCTTGATGATTAATGAAGCAGACTATATTATCCAACATTCTAATAAGATAAAATAATCACAATGATTTCTCTTTTTTGGAAAAATGTTTCTCTTATTCTCCTACGTTTTCGTTAAGATTTTTTTTCTTAAACAAGAAACATGTCTAATATCTGTAAAAACACAAAGCTTTTTGGGCAGGGTGCAGTGGCTCATGCCTGTAATTCCAGGACTTTGAGAGCCCAAGGTGGGTGGATCATGAGGTCAGGAAATCGAGACCATCCTGGCTAACACGGTGAAACCCCATCTCTACTAAAAATACAAAAAAGGCCGGACATGGTGGCAGGCACCTGTAGTCTCAGCTACTTGGGAGGCTGAGGCAGGAGAATGACATGAACCTCTGAGGTGGAGCTTGCAGTGAGCCAAGATCATGCCGCTGCTCTCCAGCCTGGCTACAGAGCAAGACTCCATCTAATAATTAAATAAATAAATTAATTAATTAATAAAAATAAAAAATTAATAGTAAGAGCAATGTGAACAAAAGATGCAATAAAATAATTTAGAAAATACAAGCTATTAAAAAAAAGATTTTAAAACTTGTGCAACAAAGTCAAACAGCACCCAACGAAAATGTATACCCTTACATGTTTGTTTAAAAAGCAATTTAAATTACATTGATCCACTAAACTAGGAAAAGCAAAGCAAACAAAAAGGGGGAAATAATTAAGACCTAAGGAAAAAGGAAAAAGAAAAACCACTAGATTTAAAAAATAAAACTAAAGGAGGATTCTTTCAAAAGACTGAGATAATAAAACAGTCAAGCCTCTGATAAGTAATCAAGATAAAGAAAACTTTGAAGAGAAAAGGGCATATAGCCACATGTGAATATGATGCAAAAAGTGAAAACTTTACACATCTTTACAACACCTTAGAAGTATGGATGACATGTTCATTTTTTTTTTTTTTTTTTTTTGTTTGAGATGGAGTCTCGCTCTGTCACCCACGCTGGAGTGCAGTGGCGCGATCTTGGCTCACTGCAAGCTCCGCCTCCCGGGTTCACAACATTCTCCTGCCTCAACCTCCTGAGTAGCTGGGACTACAGGCGCCCGCCACCACGCCTGGCTAATTTTTTGTATTTTGGCTTAGTAGAGACAGGGTTTCACCATGTTAGCCAGGATGGTCTTTATCTCCTGATCTCGTGATCCACCTGCCTCGGCCTCCCAAAGTGCTGGGATTACAGGCATGAGCCATTGCACCCGGCCAAAGTTTTCATTTTTTTTTTTAAGATTCTACAGTCACAAAAACTAACTGAAGAAGTGGAAAATCTGGAGACCAATACGCAGAAGAAGGAAAAAGACAAAGACTCATCCTCCAAATTGGATATTTATTTAAACCAGAATTTGTCAGCCTCAGCAATACTGATATATTTGGCCAGATAATTCTTTGTGGAGGGTTCTCCTGGTGTGTTGTCGGACATTTAGTAACATTCCCTCTACCCACAGAATGCCAATAAGACCTCCCGACCTTGACCAGTTGTAACCACAAAAATGTCTCCAGATATTTCGAAACGTCCCATAGGAGGCAAAATACTCCTGCAGTTGAAAATTACTGTGTAAACCAGATCTACATCCTAGATCTTAGAAAAAAGATGTAAAGCTTCCCAACTCAGCCCTGCATACCCTTGATACTGAAATGAAATAACAGCCTTATTGGAAACAAACAAAACTATAATCTTATTTAATACAGAAGTAAAAATGCAAAAATAAAATATTACCACAGCCATTCTAACAGTGTTTATTATAGGAATGCAAAGATGATTCAAAATTAGGAAAAATTCATTAGGCAATTCACAAATTATATTTCTACATATAATTGAAGGCAAAATCATGAAAAGCAAAGTAGCTCTATATGCATTAAGTCCATGATCTATTCAGTGAAAAACACAAGTTGCAGATGTCTTACAGAAGGAAAACTTAACACTGAACACATATTCTTACCATCTGCTCTTTGTCCTGAGGCTCCAATAGAAATACAGTGAAGAATAAACATTGTATAAGCACACAATTACAAAAAAGGAATGGGGTTACCAACAGAAGAGAATTCATCTTCATTAGACAATGACAGTACATGGAAAATGGTTAATTCATGGAGCAAAGCAAACAAAGGTGGAGGTCAGGGGGATACTGAGAACAAGGAGGCTAATCTGTCCCACAGCAACCTGGAAAGGTTCTAGACCCAGACACGAGGTACCCCCGACAGTGGGACTGATAGGCAAGACTGAAAACAGAGATTAAGCAAAAGCCCGGATAGAGAACACATTTCACAGGCCCTGAAACACACTGCTGGCCCCATCTCCTTAAACAGAACCCAAGCAAACGTATCCACCTCAGGCAAGACAATGTAGATTTTACATCCAGAGGAATGGAGTAGTCATCCAGCCATCATTTATGATTGCACCAGGAGATAAGATAGAGGGATGGAGGATAACAATTAGGAATCAGCATACATTCCCCCTAAAAGCTATCAGTTGACAAGTCTTGGCCACAAAGAACTCCCAATCAATTTTGATTTATTTTTATTTTTATTTATTTATTTTTTTTGAGACAGGGTCTTGCTCTTTCGCCCAGGCTGGAATGCAGGAATGCAGTGGCATGATCAGAGCTCACTGCAGCCTCAACCTCCTGGGCTCAAGCAATCCTCCTGCCTCAGCCTCCCAAGTAGCTGGGACTGCAGATGGGTGTCACCACACCTAGCTATTTTTTTTTTTTTTGTAAAGATGGGGTCTCACTATGTTGCCCAAACTAGTCTTGAGCTCCTGGGCTCAAGTGATCCTCCCACTTCAGTCTCCCAAAGCACTGAGATTATAGGTGTGAGCCACCACACCCCGGCTCCCAGTCTTTTAGTACCTCTCTCAAATATGAATGAGCAAATAAAGGAATGAGAAAAAGACTACAGGTCAGGCGCGGTGGCTCATGTCTGTAATCCCAGCACTTTGGGAGGCCAAGGTGGGTGGATCACCTGAGGTTGAGAGTTCCAGACCAGACTGACCAACATGGAGAAATCCCATCTCTACTAAAAATACACAAATTAGCTGGGCGTGGTAGCACATGACTGTAATCCCAGCTACTTGGGAGGCTGAGGCAGGAGAACTGCTTGAACCTGGGAGGCAGAGGTTGTGATGAGCCGAGATCACATCATTGTACTCCAGCCTAGGCAACAAGAGCGAAACTGGGTCTCAAAAAAAAAAAAAAAAAGACTACAAATGATAAGCAACATAGAATAGATATTTAAGGAAAGGCTTTAAAAAGAAAAATAAGACCAAAATAAACTAAGAAAAAAAATTATTAAAGAACAAAGAGATGCCAGGGAGAAGACAAAGAGTATCAAAATCACTTCATAAAGACACTTGTGAATATATTACATGTATAAAACAAAACAATATGAATAAGAAATAATCAGAGAAGAAAAAGTTCTTAGAACTCATGCTCCATCTTGGGAGTTGGTCTCCAATGAGCCATACCTCCTGTCATCATGTCCTTAGACAGGCCCATCCCATAGTCAATCTGGGTTGGCCCCAACACTCACTTTAACCTATAGCATGTGGTAGAAATGACACTGGACCTGTTCCAGGTCTAAGCCTTAAGAACCCCTGGCAGCTCCATTTCTGTGCTTCTGGAAGCCAAAAATAAGAATTGGCTACCCTCTTGGAGAAAGAAAAGCCACATGAAGAGATTCGAGAGGATGAGATGCTATGCAGAGAGAAAGGCCACATGAAGAAACACCAAAGCAGCAGACCTGTGGGTGAAGAAGCCGTCTCAGACATTCCACTGCAGCTGAGCATCCAGATGACCAGTCCCTAACACTGTCTGACCGCACAGTGAGAGCTGCCAAATAAGACCAGCAAGAAAACTGTCCAGCTAGCCCCAGTTAATCCATACAGTAGTGACAGATAGACATATGTGTAGTTTTACGCCATTAAGTTTTGGGATAATTGGTTAAGCAACAATAAATAACCAAAACAAAACTTAAAGTTATGATAGTCCAAATAAAATTTCCTGAAAGTCGAAAGATAAGAAAAATATTCCAGAACTTAAAATTTAAAAAAAATTTAGAAATAATGTGAGATACCAGACTCAAGACAAGAGGTCTAAAATCCAATTAACAGACACTTCAAAATGAACAAATAAAATGGAAAAGAGAAAGTTAACAACAAAAATATGACAAGATTCAAGACTCCAACTTTGAAAGAGCCTATCCATAGGCCTGTCCATTTGGTGTACCCAGCACAATGAATGAAAAAAGACCCACACTAAGTACACTGTTGTGCTATTTCAGCTCAACAAGGAAAAGACAAACTCCTAAAAGCTTCCAGGGAGAAAGTCATGCATAAATAAGTGAAACTCAGGATGGCATGAGGCTTCACCACCACGACTGGTTAGAAGACAACAGCACAGACTTTGAAATTTTAAGGTAAAATTATCCTCAACCTAGAAATATATAATCAACCAAACTATCAATCAAGTGTGAGGGTAGAATATGAGAGACGTGAATACTGATGGGGATGTGATATGCAGCAGGCACTGTTCTAAATGGTTTACATGTACCAGTTCAATAAATCCTCATAGCTCCCTAAAAACATAGGTACTACTACTATTACTGGTTCCCCCATTTTGCAAATGGAAAATTCATGCATAGGGCAATTAGGGAATCAGCCCAAGGACATACAGCTAATAAGTAGGAGAACCAAGATTCAAACCTATCTCGGACTGGCTCCAAAACTCAAACACTGGGTCATATTTTTTTGGAAGCTAGAGCTCAGAAAAGATACCACTGCATGCTTTCTTAGAGTTTTATTTGAGGATGTTGTCAGGGAAAATGAGAAAGGTTAAGCCAAGAAAGATGACATGGGATCCAGGAAACAATGGATCTACTCTAGGAGAGGAGATGTGAAAAACCTCAAGATGGCATCTGCACAGCCAACCGAAAGAACAACCTGCCAAGATGGGCTCAGAGGAGCCAAAGGCTTCAAAAGAGAAGGAGATCTCACAGAAAGGGCTACAACAGCATTTTTTTAAATTAAAAATTACTACTATGAGGAAGACCTGCAAAACAAAAAGCAGCGCCAAGAAAAGAAATATCCTATCCTAAATATTCTAGAAAACTTGGCTTTATTCTACAAAGTCCTAATGATAATTAGAGATTACTTATATGACTAAAGATAATATTTGAGGAAGGGGAAGTGGGTGGTATAAGAGCTAAATTCTCATGTATTTTAGTAAAAAGTAAATAACTGATGCCTAAATAGGTAAATCCAGGAAGAAGTTAGAGGTGGTGGTGAGCTAGTGGAGATTTCTGTTGCTTGCAGGAGATAACATTTGGGCGAGTCCTTAAGAAGCATAGACAGATGTAAGGAGATGGCATTTCTAGGTAAAGGTAATTGAATAAGCAAAGACAAAAAAAGAAAGAAGCAAAAACATTTATGGACACCAGGAATATTAACAACAAAAATGTGGTGGTATGGAGAAGGGCAATTGTTTGCCTGTCATAGTAAATATCAGCAGCTCCAAAGAATGAAAGATTATTTTTAGTACCTAAGACAGAACAAAACAATTCAACAGGAACAAAAAAACCTAATTTCTAAATAAGTTGAATAACAAAAAAAAATCATCCTAGTTTGACTTTTGCTTGAGACAATTTATTTTATCTCTTGAACACTACAGAATTTACTTTACCTGTAAATAATACATTATTATTATTATTATTATTATTATTATTATTATTATTATTGAGACAGAGTTTCACTCTTGTCACCCAGGCTGGAGTGCAATGGTGTGATCTTAGCTTGCTGCAGCCTCCACCTCCCAGCTTCAAGTGATTCTCCTGCCTCAGCCTCCCGAGTAGCTGGGATTACAGGCGCCCACCACCACGCCTGGCTAATTTTTGTATATTTAGTGGAGACAGGGTTTCACCATGTTGGTCAGGTTGGTCTCAAACTCCCGACCTCAGGTGATCCACCTGCCTGAGCCTCCTAAAGTGCTGGGATTACAGGCGTAAGTCACCGCTCCCAGCCTAATTATTTTTATTTGTCTACTTGACTTTTTTTTCTATCCTTACCTGCACCTCTTTCCTGGAGTAGGAAAATACAGGAATTCATGAGTCCATCCCAATATGGACTCCAAGATGCTCCAGGCTGTCTCTCTTACTCATCACGAGTCTATATTACACACCCAGCACAAAGTGGACAGCCAAACAAAGAAAATCTTGGAGTAAAAATGGCCTGCAACAAAACTATGGAAACAGTGAAAAGATCAGTCATTGCCAGGGGTTGAAGGGAGGGACGAATGAATAGGCAGAGCATAGAGGATTTGGGGGCAGTGAAACTACTCTCTATGATACAATAATTATAGACACATGTTATTATACTTTCAACCAAATCCGTAAAATATCCAACACACCAAGAGCGAACCCTAATGTTAACCATGGACTTTGGGCAATAATGGTGCATCAATATAGGTTCATTGATTGTAACAAATGGACCACTCTGGTGCCCATGTTGGTAGTGGGGAAGGCTGTGAATGTGTAGGGGCAGGAGCTATATGGGAACTGTCTGTACTTTCTGCTCAACTTTGCTGTGAACCTAAAACTGCTCTAAAAATGATCTATTTAAAAGAGAGAGGAGGCCAGGCGCGGTGGCTCACACCTGTAATCCCAGTACTTTGGGAGGTCGAGGCGGGAGGATCACGAGGTCAGGAGTTCAAGACCAGTCCGACCATCATGGTGAAACCCCGTCTCTACTAAAAATACAAAAATTAGCCAGGTGTGGTGGCGCACACCTGTAATGCCAGCTACTCAGGAGGCTGAGGCAGGAGAATCGCTTGAACCCAAGAGGCAAAGGCTGCAGTGAGCAGTAAGCCAAGATCGTGTCATTGCACTCCAGCCTGGGCTACAGAGGAAGACTTAGTCTCAAAAAAAAAAAAAAAAAAGAGAGCGAGAGAGAAAGGAAATGGCCTAAGAAACTACAAAATACCACAAGATGGCACTCTTTCTCTCGGAAGCTTCAATGAGGGCTGCATTTCCAGAAATTGCTACTGCTGAAGAGTGTAGCAGGGATTGTGACTGCCCCCGGCCCCGTTATTCATGAAGCTAAAAGAGCTTCACAATGTTGTCCCAGCCCAACCCCAGGTTTATACTTTCCATGGCTGTTATTAAAGATAGGTATTATTATGATTCAGGTGTGATGAGGCCAACAGATCAGGAGATGACTGCTGCTGGAAAGAGAGTTTTTTACTGTTCCCAAGAGGAAGGGGCACCAGGTAGGTCAGGAGACAGAGCAGGAGGAAAACGAGGGCAAGAGCCTTTCTTGTGGTTTCCACGGGAAGGGACAGGTGAGGCAGGGTAAGCAGACTTAGCACTGACTGGTTTGAATAATTTCTGGGGCATGATTGACTGGGGCATACGGCTGTCCGTAGTATTCTGGTAGCTGGCCCTGGGGTGACTAGGGCAGGTGGATCCTGGCCCAGAGTATAGGAGTCTGAGAAAGGAGGGGGCTGGGGTATGAGCACTGGATTGCTTGATTTTTTTTTTTTTTTTTTTTTTTTTTTTTTTTTGAGATGGAGTCCCGCTCTGTCGCCCAGGCTGGAGTGCAGTGGCGCGACCTTGGCTCACTGCAAGCTCCGCCTCCCAGGTTCAAGAGATTCTCCTGTCTCAGCTTCCCCAGTAGCTGGGATTACAGGCATGTACCACCATGTCCAGCTAATTTTTTGTATTTTTAGCAGAGACAGGGTTTTACCATGTTGGCCAGGCTGGTCTGTAATGGATTGGTTGATTTGTGTATGAAAGGCAGGCTTTCAGGCAAGTTCTTTGCTATCTCTAGGAACTGGCTAACCCTGGAAGACGCAGTCTCTCCAGGGTCACCAAGGCTCCAAAATGACAAAGCATCTGAACCACATGGTTAGTAAAATGGAGTATAGTGACACAAAGTTATACTCTCCAGTTCACAAACGAGCTCAGAAGCAATTCCAGGAAAATTATTTTCTTATGGTTACTATTGTCAGGCCACTCAAAGGAGTTTTGATTTCCTGAAAAGGAAATCTTCCACACAGATGCTATAGAAAAAGATCTAATTGCTTCTATAAACTGGCAAGAATATTTCCATAACTACAGAACTTTTTGCCAATTTCCCAACTGGAAAAAAGTAAGATGAATTTGAGCTCCTTTAAGTCACTCCTCTTTACCCGCATGGTCTTAAGGTGACTTTTAGAGAGAGGACACAGGCAATGTGAGTGGGAGAAGGGCCCAGGTGCCACACCTTACTTGTACTGGCAGATGGGGAGGAACAGCACAGACCGCACATCTGAGAGAAGAACTGGTTACCCGCAGACAGGGCCAGGAGTGTCCTGAGGTTACTCCAGGGCCTGAGAGCTTCCAGGCAGGTGTAAACATGAAGGCTGGCTTGGAGCAATCATATTATATCTGCACAATCCGAAGTGAGGCATTGTCTGTGGCAGCAGCCTCCCTGAGCCAGCAATAATCCCTTTTTCTAATCTGGTTTAATTAAATGGACACCAGGCATGGATCAGAAGAGAGGGGTCATTTATGGGATTGCATTATTTAACCAGGTGATCACTTAGAAGGTTTTGAGTTTCTAAAACAAAAAAAGAGACTGTGCTACTAAGAACTGGCATGCAGTAGACAGTTTAATAAAACTGAAATGCCGGCCGGGCAAGATGGCTCACGCCTGTAATCCCAGCACTTTGGGAGGTCAAGGTGGGTGGATCACCTGAGGTCAGGAGTTCGAGACCAGCCTGGCCAACATAGTGAAACCCCGTCTCTACTAATAATACAAAAATTAGCTGGCTGTGGCGGCATGCACCTGTAATCCCAGCTACTCGGGAGGCTGAGGCAGGAGAATCACTTGAACCCGGGAGGCGGAGTTTGCAGTGAGCCGAGATTGTCCCACTGCACTCCAGCCTGGGCAAAGAGCGAAACTCGGTCTCAAAAAACAAACAAACAACACACACACACACACACAAACCAACTTTTCTTTACTGTGTATAGCTTTACTGCAATTCCCTGCCTAACCCCGAACTACGTGGTGGGAAGTGTAGGGATAGGAGAGCAGCGCAGTTCCTGATAGGGCTTCCTGCCTTATGATGAGACCATTGAATACAGACTGTGAGCCTGTTATATTCAAAGTGTTGAAAGTCATCATTTGAGGGTGTGGGGAGCTGGGGAAATGATTATTTGGAGATAAAGGAGGGATTTACATTGATCAGGGGTTAGCCAGACTGCATCTCTTTTCGTCTTTTGAAGTTTACTGCGGCAAGGGGTTGATTAGTGCAGCACAATTGTCTTGGGACAGGACGGTCAGCATTGGGCAGCTCCTGGCTTTAATCTGAAGCCTCCCTTCCTCCCGCAGATCTGTAATAATTCCAGGTGGCAGTATGGTTTTGGTTGTAGGTGTCGGTGCGGTGTGGACATTGCCCACGGAGGGCACAGAGCAGCAAGACCCAGGAGGGAGATATTTCCCGAGTTCTCCACACACCAGGATGTTTGAGAGAAGAGCCAAGTCTTGGTTTTATGACAGTGAGACAAGAACACAGAGAGAAAAGGAGAAGAGGAACAAGTGGCTCTCGGATACTGATGAGTTATAAAGAGAAGATCCTGAAGGAATTCACTGTGAGTCAGGCGCTCCCGCACTTGGCGTCTGATGGCTGTTCTCCTTAAAGGAGTACCGAGAGATCCTCCCTCAGGATTGCTATCCCAAGAGAGTGGAGGCTTTTCTCCTGTAGCTCCTTTTCAAAGGTGCAAGTGCCTTCTGTGCTTTCTGCTCTCATCTGGAGGAATTCTGCCCTTACCTACTCACCTGTTTTTTTCTTTATTACAAAGGTAAGGACATAGTTTGCTCTAAAAAGTAGTAAGCTTAATTATGATCTAACCAAAATATCAGGTACCCAGCCACAGTATGTAATCATGAGTTTCAACCCTGCATTGATTTTTACTTTAATAAAAATACCCAATGCTTCTCTCTAAAATCTCGTGATATAGAAGTAAGCATCTGTGATGCCCAATAAAACCGTGCACAGCTCCTGACACAACCTGAGGGATGATTTCTAATCATCTTATAGAAATATTTATATCTTTCTTGTTTTAATGAGGATTTTTAAGTGCAAGACATAAAATATTAATAGGTTAAGGAAGCTGGACTTAGCTTTCATTCTGCACGTAGAGGCACAAAAATGATCATGGTTCTTCAAAATGCTAGAGTTGACGTATGATCTACCAACTCCATTCTTGGTTCCTAAACTCAAGATAAATGAAAATGTGTCCATGAAAAACTGGTCTAAGAAGGTTCATAGCAGCATTATTCATAATAGCCAAAAAGTAGAAACAACCCAATTGCCCATCAACCAGATGGATAAACAAAATATGGTCTCTCTGCACAACAGAATATTATTTTGTAAAAAGAAATGAATTACTGATGCATGCTACAACACAGATGAACCTTTAAAACTTTATGCTAAGAGAAAGAAGCCCATCACAAAACGTACATCTGTAGGTTTCCGTTCCTATGAAATGTCCATAATAGGAAAATCCACAGAGACAAAGTAGATTAGTGGTTGCCAGGAGCAGAAGTAGTGGGGGAATGGGAAGTGACTGCTGACAGATACAGTATTTCTTTTTGAGATAATGAAAATGTTCTGAGATTAGATTATGATGTTTGCACACAACTGTGAATATGCCAAAAACTACTGAACTAATATAAATATTTATATATAGTTATATATATTTAATATATTAAATATATGTTAATATTAAATATAAATGTTATATAATGTTATATAAATATAAATATGTTATATAATATGATATAAATATATATAATATAATATATTACATTATTATTATATAATAATATTATAATATAATATAATATAATATATAATAAAAATAAAAAATAAAAAAATAAAATAAAATAAAATAAAAATATAAAAATAAATTTAAAAAATAAAATAAAATAAAATAAAAATAAAAAATAAAAATAAAAAAATAAAAAATAAAAAATAAATAATAAAAATAATATAATATAATATTATATATAAATATATAATATAATTATTATATTATTATTATATATCATTATATAATATATTATTATAATGATTAGTATTATATTAATATATGATATATCATATATTATATAATATATGATATATCATATATTATATAATATATGATAATATAATATCATATATTAATATAATATATTGTATTAATATATTATAATATGTAATCATATATAATGATATATTAATATAATATATAGTATATATTTTATATTAATATATTATATATTATATATATTATAATAAATATATAATATATAATAAATATGTTATATAATATGCTATATAAATATAAATATGTTAATATTTAATATAGTAAATATTTTAAAATATATTAAATATGTTACATATATTTAAAAGGGTGATTTCTGTGGTATGCACATTACATCTCAATAAAGTTGTCATTTAAAAAAATTGGCATGGGGCAGGGTGAGGTGGCTGACGCCTGTAATCCCAGCACTTTGGGAGGCCGAGGCGGGTGGATCATTTGAGGTGAAACCCTGTCACTGCTAAAAATACAAAAAAATTATCTGGGTGTAGTGGCACATGCCTATAGCCCCAGCTACCTGGGAGGCTGAGGCAGTAGAATGGCTTGAGCCTGGGAGGCGGAGGTTGCAGTGAGCCAAGATGGTGCCACTGCACTCCAGCCTGGGCAACAGAGTGAGACTCCATCTCAAAAAAAAAAAAAAACTGGCATGGAAGTCTTCCCAACTGTTTCTCTTCTCCCAGCCTTCCAAAGAGAGACCTATAATTGCCTATTCTAATTTCCCAACCTCCTTCCTTCTCAAGAGAAAAGATTCTTTCTTGCTAGGAGAGGGTTTGGGTTGACCAATGTCATAAAGAAATGAAGAGTGGGGGAGGGAAAGAAGAGTGTGAGAAAGAAAAGGTGAACAGGGCTGGTCAGAAGAGAAGGGTTTGGGGAAGGTAACTGCAGCGGATGTTCTGGGAAAGTTGCAGGAGTAACGGGGACAGATGCAAGAACAGGGAATTCCTATTTTGTGATACGATGGCCTGTGTGCATGTGGACCTATTCAGGTTTTAGAGAATTGCAAGAAAAGGATTTGAACTATTTTGAAGCAGCATTTGGTTGCTGGTCTTCATTTGCCTACATTTCTCCAAGACAGAACCATAAGGGCCCAGGCTTATATTTTAAGCTTTTGTAATAAAGTTAAGCTTTTATATTTTACAATATATTGACATCATATATTTTAAGATTTGTCTCTGGAAAAATTGCCCTTGGCTTTTAGGATAGTTGTGGCAAATTGTGGGTTAATTACAAGCCCTTCCATTCCACAGCCCCCATAACATTGAATAAAATAATCAATCCCCTGAAAAAGTCAAGTTGGTGAAAATGAATACTTATGAATGGCTTCTTATGTTACTTTAGGCTGTCATGTAATACAATTTTTTTCTGAGAAGTATTTATTCATCTATGTAGCTGAATGAAAGCTACATGTTTTTGCAACTTCCATGAGAATCTAAAACTACTTAAAAGTTGTATTTTAAAAAAAGATATAGCAATTATATTACCAGAGTTTAACTGGAGAGATTGTTTTTGAGATTTTTTTTTTTTTTTTTGAAAAATAAAATTCTCAGCTGGGCGTGGTGGCTCACGCCTGTAATCCCAACACTCTGGGAGGCTGAGGCGGGCAGATCACCTGAGGTCAGGAGTTCGAGACCAGCCTGGCCAACATGGTGAAACCCCATCTCTACTAAAAATACAAAAATTAGCCAGGCATGGTGGCAGGTGCCTGTAATCCCAGCTAGTCGAGAGGCTGAGGCAGGAGAATCACTTGAACCCAGGAGGTGGAGGTTGCAGTGAGCCGAGATCATGCCATTGCACTCCAGCCTGAGTGATAAGAGCGAAGCTGTGTCTCAAAAATAATAATAATAATGTATTATTATTATAATACCTTATAATACCTGTGTCTCAAAAAAAAAGAAAAGAAAAGAAAGAAAGGAAGGAAGGAAGAAAAGAAAGAGAGAAAAAAGAAAATTTGAAAATGTTCAAGTTCTTTTGCTACCTGAATGTCATACCAGTGGTCAGAATGTAGACTTTCAGACTAATGTTTGTAAGTGATGCCCTGGGTAATAATCAATCCCAGGCTATAAAGCAAGTACTTTGCAAAGTCTCAAGTCCCTCTCAGCACTGGGTGATCCATCTGTGTTCAATGGGGCTCACCCTTTGTGGGTGCCCCCAAAGAGGGTGATTTATGATCGGTTATAACGACATCCAACTTCAGAAGGAAATCCATTTCCTCTCACTGTATGGGGTAGACTCAGCTCATATAAATTCTGAGGAAGCCTTATAGTTCTTGTGATACAAAAACAATCAGCTGCCGTGATTAGAAACACAGACTATTAAATAACTGCATCCTAGGGTAGCACAGCAAGAAAGCTCCAAGTGAGCAGTGTGGCTGCAGAGTGCTCCGTAGAAGGCAGGATTATCAATTCAGCACAAAGCTGAAGGCAAGAACCTGCGGTATTTCGCTATCATGGCTAGTGATATTCATGGGGCCTGGAAGTCCTATACTGTCTCTTCATGTTTTATATCCACATTTTAATGTTGTTTGTGGACAATACTGGTTGTTGCAACAGGTCACTTGTACCATAAAAAGAATGACTGGCACCTCTAATTACAGGGGAAGAGCCACCTCCCAGGGACTGGGGAGTAGGGGCAAGAGGCTCATCCCTACAGCATTTCCCACCTCTTAAAGTGGCCACCACATTTCTTTTGTTCCTGACCTTCTCCCATTGGGAAGATGAGCAAGAGCTAGAGCTAGAAGGGCAATTGAAGTGTGAACATACCAGGAAAGCTCAGGGAAAGTGGTTCCCGAAACCATCTTTCCCATAGCTTGTCTCTTGGGATGGGCTTTTCCACAGTGACGTGATTCAGTGTGATTGTATGCTTATGTGTTTACAACCAGCAGGCACAGGGCTGCCACTGACTACACGATGATGGGAGGATGGACGCCGCCTTCAGGAGCTGGAGGAGCAGAAGACGTGAACAAAGGTGGAGGGTGGTTTGGGCAGGGGTGGGTGAAGAGGTGCGTGGGGCGGGCTTTGAGAGTTAAAGGGGACCCACAGAAGGTTTCAATCCATGTGCTATCAGCTCTTTGCTGGGGACCATTGCCTCTTGGGCCTGATGGGAAGCAGGGTGGAAAGGCCTATGAGGGAACCAAGTGGCAGAAGCGTTCAACCAGGTGTGCTGTGAAGGTGCTGTCCAGGCAGAGGCAGAAATCATGGTCAGATCCCGAGGAAGAGCAAGACGAGTTCAACTGGTGAGTCTTAGAAGTCAGCCAGAACCCCCTCTGATTCTGGTTCCCAAGCTCAAGAGGGACCAAGCCCAAACCCAAGCCCAAGATGGGGAAGTCGTGCGCATCATCGGTCAGAGGCCCAGGAAGAAGCCATATTTGAAAGTGATTCTGGTGCCTCCTTTTCCTTCCTCCCCTGATTCCATGAAGCCCTTTTTTAAATATTGCAAAGAATGTGGGTATTTCCACCAGCAGTGTAAAAGTGTTCCTATTTCTCCACATCCTCTCCAGCACCTGTTGTTTTCTGACTTTTTAATGATTGCCATTCTAACTGGTATGAGATGGTATCTGATTGTGGTTTTGATTTGCATTTCTCTGATGGCCAGTGATGGTGAGCATTTTTTCATGTGTTTTTTGGCTGCATAAATGTCTTCTTTTGAGAAGTGTCTGTTCATGTCCTTTGTCCACTTTTTGATGGGGTTGTTTGGTTTTTTCTTGTAAATTTGTTTGAGTTCATTGTAGATTCTGGATATTAGCCCTTTGTCACATGAGTAGGTTGTGAAAATTTTCTCCCATTTTGTAGGTTGCCTGGTCACTCTGATGGTAGTTTCTTTTGCTGTGCAGAAGCTCTTTAGTTTGATTAGATCCCATTTGTCAATTTTGGCTTTTGTTGCCATTGCTTTTGGTGTTTTAGACATGAAGTCCTTGCCCATGCCTATGTCCTGAATGGTAATGCCTAGGTTTTCTTCTAGGGTTTTTATGGTTTTAGGTCTAACATTTAAGTCTTTAATCCATCTTGAATTAATTTTTGTATAAGGTGTAAGGAAGGGATCCAGCTTCAGCTTTCTACATATGGCTAGCCAGTTTTCCCAGCACCATTTATTAAATAGGGAATCCTTTCCCTATTGCTTGTTTTTCTCAGGTTTGTCAAAGATCAGATAGTTGTAGATATGCGGCATTATTTCTGAGGGCTCTGTTCTGTTCCATTGATCTATATCTCTATTTTGGTACCAGTACCATGCTGTTTTGGTTACTGTAGCCTTGTAGTATAGTTTGAAGTCAGGTAGTGTGATGCCTCCAGCTTTGTTCTTTTGGCTTAGGATTGATTTGGCGATGCGGGCTCTTTTTTGGTTCCATATGAACTTTAAAGTAGTTTTTTCCAATTCTGTGAAGAAAGTCACTGGTAGCTTGATGGGGATGGCATTGAATCTATAAATTACCTTGGGCAGTATGGCCATTTTCACGATATTGATTCTTCCTACCCATGAGCATGGAATGTTCTTCCATTTGTTTGTATCCTCTTTTATTTCATTGAGCAGTGGTTTGTAGTTCTCCTTGAAGAGGTCTTTCACGTCCCTTGTAAGTTGGATTCCTAGGTATTTTGTGGAAGACAGTGTGGCAATTCCTCAGGGATCTAGAACTAGAAATACCATTTGACCCAGCCATCCCATTACTGGGTATATACCCAAAGGACTATAAATCATGCTGCTATAAAGACACATGCACACGTATGTTCATTGCGGCACTATTCACAATAGCAAAGTCTTGGAACCAACCCAAATGTCCAACAATGATAGACTAGATTAAGAAAATGTGGCACATATACACCATGGAATACTATGCAGCCATAAAAAATGATGAGTTCATGTCCTTTGTAGGGACATGGATGAAATTGGAAATCGTCATTCTCAGTAAACTATCACAAGGACAAAAAACCAAACACCGCATGTTCTTACTCACAGGTGGGAATTGAACAATGAGAACACATGGACACAGGAAGGGGAACATCACACTCTGGGGACTGTTGTGGGGTGGGGGGAGGGGGGAGGGATAGCATTAGGAGATATACTTAATGCTAAATGACGAGTTAATGGGTGCAGTACAGCAGTATGGCACGTTTACATGTGTAACTAACCTGCACATTGTGCACATGTACCCTAAAACTTAAAGTATAATAATAATAAAATAAAATTAAATTAAATTAAAAAAGAATATGGGTATTTCCTCTCAAAGCCGCATGTTCAGAAAAATAGCAGCATGCACTTTTGAAAAAGGGCCACTCTATTCCTAGCCGAGACAAGCACTTATTTATTTTGAACAACTGGTAATGACTTATTTTTCAATGAATGAATGGATGTTTGTTTAGAGAAATGTAAACTGAATAATGTTTGTTCTTTTGTATACAATTTGGGATAGCTAAATCTCCAGCAACATATTGTTATAATTTTAAAAAAGAAAAGCAACCAGTGGGTGAGCTTGCCAGAAATGTGATACCCATTTGTGTTATAATGCAGAATAAACCCATAGGACCTTACAAAATGCATCTGCTGCAGAAGAAAAAGCAAGGGTTGGAACTCAACCCGATCGTAGCAGTGCTTTTGACACTGAAGATCAAGAACAAAGTCTCCAATTATGTAACAAGTATGTTAACATTCTCGGTGTGTTTGTAATCTTTAAAAAGGCCTGTCTTTTTACTTTTCATTTTCTTCCTCTCCTCATAGTTCTTGTTCCACTGCGTCCTTTGGCTACTTACACGTTGTTTTGCTGATGCTAATATTTTCTAGGACATACTTAGGCCACTGTGTGATTTTTTTGGTTGTTCCGCAGTATGAGAAGAATGGTATTTGACTGTGGGCACTTGACTCCATTTGACTGTGGGCACTTGATGCCGTTGAAGTGTGTGCCTGGTGTCTGTTCTTAGTTTTTGTTCTTTGCTGGAGCCTAAAACAAGATGATGCAACTCATTCCGAACATTCCAAATAACTCTGCCCTTCAGTAGTAAACCTCTAAAATATGAGTAAGAGGTTATAAATTAAGCGGTCATTCTCTAAAATGTGTGCTAATGCTTCTCCGAAAGGAAAACAAAAATAGTCTTAATTGTTGGTGAGACATTTTGAAGTTGCTCCAACATAAATGGCCTCCAGCTTCTCTTTTGGCTCATAAATTATGTGTTTTGTGGGCTAGAGTAACACTTGAACTGCGGTAAGCCTTCATGGCTATTCCTTGCAGGTACAGACTGTCTGATAGGAAGAATTTGCATAAAATGAGAACACAAAGCAACGATCCAAATGGTCCCTACTCCATGCAGTGTCCTTCCCACCTCTGGAGGCATGAATGGAGGCTGGGCATGGTGGCTCATGCTGTAATCCCAACACTTTGGGAGGCCAAGGCAGGCAGATCGGTTGAGGTCAGGAGTTCGAGATCAGCCTGGCCAACATGGTGAAACCCTATCTCTACTAAAAATACAAAAATTAGGTGGGTGTGGTGGTGGGAGTCTGTAATCCCAGCTACTTAGGAGGTGGAGGCAGGAGAATTGCTTGAACCTGAGAGGCAGAGGTTGCAATGAGCTGAGATTGCACCACTGCACTCCAGCCTGGGCAACACAGCAAGACTCTGTCTCAAAAAAAATAAAAATAAACAATAAAAAATAAAGGCATGAATGGAACGTCAATAGTTGGTATGTAAGCCATATGTTTTCTTTAACTTGCTTATGGCATATAAGCATCCAAGGCACAACCATGAGTAAGTATTGTAAAAAAATATAATATACAACTCAACATATACTATGTTTAAATAGCATATACAATTAATTTTACCTCTAATCAGGTTTGTTATTAGAAATATGTACTTTGGGCCCCCATTATCACAGTGTGTTCATTTAGAAAGCACACAGACTGCTTTCCAACTTTTCTTTTGCTGGATAGAGACCAATGTAATCGCAGGACAAAGCCCTCCAAGGTCCCTGAGCCTGACGTGGGTGGACTTGGGTTCCCTGTGATAGCAGGCTCCTGAAGAGCCAGGAGGCTTTTGCTGGCTGGGGCTGAGCTGGTGGTTCTGGGGTGGGCCCCCTCCATGGAGACATGAAGTCCTGACAGCCCCATCCAGGAGGTAAGGTTTGCCCCATCACCCACTGCCCTTCCTAATACAAGATTCTGGACTGCAAGTGCCTCTGGGATTTGACAAAAATGTGATTTCTGTTTCTTTTCCTCTTCTACTTCCTGCTTTCAGTATGGAGAGAGAGACAGAGCCTCATTTATATGTAACTGTAATATGCACACATGCTGAGAGAAAGAGATCTATTTTAAGGAATTGGCTCACACAACTATGGGGACTGGCAAGTCCAGAATCTGTAGGGAAAACTGACAGGCTGGAAATTCAGGTAAGAGTCAATGTTGCAGTCAGTCTTGAATCTGAATTCCATGGGGCAGGAGACTAGAAACTCAGGCAGAGTTTCCATGTGACAGTTTTAAAGAGAATTCCTTCTTCCTCAGGAAACCTCAGTCTTTGCTCTTAAGGCCTTCTACTGATTGGATGAGGCCCATGCACATTATGAAGGGAAATATGTATTACTCGAAGTCTACTGATATAAATGTTCATCACATCTGGCCAGGCATGACTCCTCACACCTGTAATCCCAGCACTTTGGGAGGCCGAGGCGGGTGGATCGCCTGAGGTCAGGAGTTTGAGAGCAGCCTGACCAACATGGTGAAACCCTGTTCCTACTAAAAATACAAAAAAATTAGCTGGGTGTGGTGGTGGGCACCTATGATCCTAGCTACTCGGAAGGCTAAGGCAGGAGAATCGCTTGAACTCAGGAGGCAGAGGTTGCAGTGAGCCAAGATCATGCCATTACAGTCCAGTGTGGGTCACAAGAGTGAAACTCTGTCTCAATAAAAAAAAAAAAAAAGTTCATCACATCTAAAAAAATACTTTCATAGCAACATGTAGGCTGATGTTTGACCAAACAACTGGGCACCACGGCTTGGCTAAGTTAAGACAAAATTAAGCATCACAAGTATTGTGCAGCCTTGGGCAAACTGCTAAACCTTTCTATGCCTTAGATTCTCATCTGGAAAATGAGGATAAAGAACAGCACCTGTCTCATAAATTTGTCGTAAGGATTAAATGCACAAAAACCTGTAACCTCCTCTGATCTGTTCTTCTGTGCCCCAAACTACTCTATGCCTGTCATATCTTTGGCACTCAAGTCATGCTAAGTGGTAACTGACTCAGCAGCTTGTAGACTGCATTTTTCTGCTTACCTCCTTTTTTACTCTGAAGACAACCATCAGGTCCAAGGCTTCCAGTACTTTATGCAACTAGTCCATGCGTACCAGGCCTGCTGACTAAGCTAATCCCACCACCGCTTCCGCACCTTCAGTTTGCCTGGGACTGGCCCCCCAACCAGCCCCCAGAAATACCTGAGGCACATGTACTGAATTAAACAGTGCTGCAGATCTTTCTAGATTTTTACTTTCTTTCTTGTGTTTTGTGGAAACACAGTATGCTGATTCTTATTCCTTGATACATCCTACCTATCCCTGGGTCCTAGCTCCTTCTTCCTTCTGTCTTTTCTTTTTTAGTCCTTTACCCAGGGACAGTGTTAAGATGGTGTGATAATTAATTTTATGTGTCAGTTTGGCCAGGTCAGTGCCCAGATCTTTGGTCAAACATTATTCTGGATGTTTCTTTTTTTTTTTTTGGATGAAATTAACATTTAAATTGGTGAACTTTGGGCTGGGCACGGTGGCTCACGCCTGTAATCCCAGCACTTTGGGAGACCGAGGCAGGTGGATCGCCTGAGGTCAGGAGTTCAAGGCCAGCCTGGCCAACATGGTGAAATCCCGTCTCTACTAAAAATACAAAAAAAAAATTATCCAGGTGTGGTGGCGCACGCCTGCAATCCCAGCTACTCAGGAGGCTGAGGCAGGGGAATCTCTTGAACCTGGGAGGTGGAGGTTGCAGTGAGCTGAGATCACGCCACTGCAATCCAGTCTGGGCGACAGGGCAAAACTCCATCTCAAATAAATAATTTAATAAATTAATTGGTGAACTTTGAGTAAAAGCAGATTACTATTCAAAATGTGGGGGATCTCATTCAATCAGTTAAAGACAATAGAACAGAGACTAACCCTTCCTGAGAAAGAAGGAATTCTGCCAACAGACTGCATTTGGAATCTAACTGTAACTCTTCCTTGGGTCTCCAGTCTGCTGGTCAACCCTGCATAGTTTGGATCTACTACTGCTCCACAGTCTCTTAAGCCAATTCATTAAAATACATTTCATCAAATTTTATATGTGTATATAAATATACACACATATATACTGAGATGTTTATCTCAATATCTTTGTGTGTGTGTGTGTGTGTGTGTGTGTGTTTGTATTCTGTTGGTTCTCTTTCTCTGGAGGAATTCTAACTAATACAGATGGAAAGAACAGTCCTCAAATCATAGCTCTATGTTGGCCCTGAGAGCTGAAGTCTGGGAGCCAAAGTAGGCCCCCTGCTATAGCTTTCTTTCTTTGAGTTTCTAAGGCTTTTGGTCTTCTGATTCCTGGGGAGGATCAGCACCTTCTCTTTTTCCAGCATTTTCAAGGTCCATGTCTGCTGCAAACCTTTCCCTCAGAGTCTGTTGATACAGGTGCCCATGGGGTAAGATATGTACTGGAGTAGTCTAGGAATAAAGACCTGAGTCCTTTCTGCCCCCATCCCCCAGCCTAAGTTCCAGAGCTATTTCCTCTTCTGGGTTTAAAACTAAGCCAACAATATTCCTACACTTCCATTTCCCAAGGAACTGTTATAGCCAACCCTGCCTGCATCCTTAGGTTGACCCCCCTCTCTGTAGCCGTGACCTGTGCTCTCACCAGCACAGGGAAGAATGGATGGCCCCTGGTCCATTCTTCCCTTTCTGCCCAGGCTAATCTCTCTGACTTCATTACCCTTTTCTGGTCTGAAAATCTAAATAGGGTATTCCCAACCCTGCTAGGAAACGTGGAAAACATGCCCTACTGGGGCCTTATTTGGACATTCTGTCTGTATTGGTTTATCTTTATATCACCACTCTCTGTGTGTTCACTGCTTATTGCTAACAATGTCTGCGTACTTCCCCGCATGCTCCCTACTATTAATATATCCCGCCATGAATTCAAGAGTAGAGTTCAAACTTCCCTACCTACTGAATAAATTACAATAATGTCGGTTAGGTTAACCTACAAGGTGCATAAAGTCGATTTTGTTTATTAAAAATAAACCTGCAACTTACAGATTTTTCTGCATCAGTGAAACTTTGGTCTAAAAATATAATATAATCATCTCATACTCTTTTGAAATATAGTCCTGTGGAAAATGCATGTTGTTATTTTATCACACTAGATATGATAGTATGGTATTATTAAACACCTAGAATGTCAGCTCTTTTTTTTTTTTTTTTTTGAGACAGTCTTTTTCTGTCACCCAGGCTGGAGTGCAGTGGTGAGATCTCGGCTCACTGCAACCTCCGCCTCCTGGGTTCAAGCAATTCTCCAGCCTCAGCTTCTCCAAGTAGCTGGGATTACAGGCACGCACCACCACACCCAGCCAATTTTTGTATTTGTAATAGAGACGGTGTTTCAGCATTTTGGCCAGGCTGGTCTCGAACTCCTGACCTCAGGTGATCTGCCCGCCTCAAATATGCCTCATGGGAAGAACAGGAATGTGGATAATGTCAAAAAACAATTTCTACTTGGGTTGTGAGTCAATGAATGGGGGAAAGTTTTTCTCCCTAATGGATTTTGCCATATTAACATCAAAATCAATTGTGACTCCGCTGGCTGTCGAGGACATGTGAACGGCACACACATCTGCTGTGGCGAAAGCCCTCCCTGTGACCTCGGGGTGGGACCATGTGCTTTCCCAAATCCTTGAGCTCAGCATTGGAGGACAAGGTGGGATGGAATACGACCGCTACCACACGACATGTCACAAAAGCCGGGCCGGAAGGAAGTTCCTCAGAGTGGCACGTTCCCACTCCGCAGTTGAGACTGATTTCAGAAAATGCACTCTGATTGCTCTGTGATTTTTCTGTCTCCATGCCATGAATGGCTAGAGAGAATGGAGTTAACTGGGAAACTGGGACACAGCAGACTTTTGCTTTTAAAACCTCCTTTTTCTGTTCATTCAGCTGTCAAAACAGACAACCTTACTCACTCACAGAAGTGGACGTTGAGGAGAAATACAACAGAGGAGATAGAAAAGCATAACTGATTTTGAGCTTCATCACGGGATAAACTCAATCTGTAAGTGCAGAGAATAACTCGGAAGAGCTTCTGCACCTCCCCACACGCATCACTGTGCATTCACCAAGGCGACAGTATCCAGGACCTCGGATCCACCAATGAGAAGCCCACAGCAGCAGCCTGGAGGACAGCTGGTGACTGCCGGAGACACAGGTGACACGCCATGTCTGGACAAGGCTGAAGCATGCAGAGAGAAGCGAAGCCCACGTTGTGCTTTGGCTCACAAACATTTAATCTGCTGAAAAGGGAATCGTGTGGGAGAAGTAGAAAGAAATGCTGGTCATGTATTATACCTAGAATTTTTCACTCCCTGGTATCATGAACCCCAGTTCCCCAAAATGGCAGGCTTGGAAACTGAGGTTCTGAGCTGAAGTGACTTGCTTCAGGCCCCGTGTTCTGTGCCCTTTCCAGAGCCTGTGGCCTACAATGACCTGGTGCATCTCACCCACAGGGTGCATGTGCCCAGACACAAACCCGAGATGGGCTGGCCTGGTTCTTAAGCTTCAGGATGGAAACACAGGCCTCCCACCTACCCCTGCCCACCGGGGCGTCCGCCTTGGATAGGAAACGGCCAAACTACCACCCACACGGGCATGGTCATCATGGCAACATCGTACGTATGGAGGGTCCTGGCTCTTTGGTTGATTAAATCCTTGGGCATTTTATTTTCAAACTCCCCTTGTCCTCCACTGAACAGACCTGGACAAATGGGATGGGAGCCTCCTCTGTTTCCATACACCCTTGCATTGGCCCCTGTTTACATGCTTATCAGAATGTATTGCCCATTTTTGTTTCATTCCTCACCTTCTTCCAGCAGCCCTCACCCTCCACCCCCTCCTACCCCGACATACACACAAAAGGGGAAGGAACCTTTTCAATCCACCTTTTAATTTCAGAGCCCAGCTCAGCCTGGGATGGAGCTCTCTGGTTGTCCTGCAGTGAGCAGAGGTGAAAGTCACACTGGCCTCAGACCGTGCTCTGCAGGGACCAATTCTCTGTCCCAAAGCCGGGGCCTCCAAGCGCTGGATTTGACTTCCTCACATCACATTCCTTCTTGAACCTATTCTGTACCCCACTCTTCCGTTAAGGTTGCCAGTGAGAACCTTCTTGGTTCTCATCTTTTGGCCTTTCATTAACATTTCTCTTGGGTTCTGAGGCTCACACTTCCCCCTGTTCCTCCTTGCTCTCCTGCCCAGCTTTTCCTCTCTTTTTCTGAATCCTGGATCCTGTATCCTTATATTGCTCCGGGGCCCCAGGTCTTCTTCATTGCACACTCTCCGAGTGTTTTCCTGATGATCTCATGGGCCTCTACCCTATAAGTACCATATTTGCCTCTCCAGCCTGACCCCTCCCTGAACCCCAGACCCTCCAATTCACTGCTTATTCACAGAAGCCACTTGCAGTCTAACAGGCAGCCCCAACAACACATGCAAAACCAGGCGGTGGCTCACGCCTGTAATCCCAGCACTTTGGGAGGCCGAGGAGGGTGGATCACCTGAGGTCAGGAGTTCAAGACCAGCCTGGCCAACATGGCGAAACCCCGTCTCTCCTAAAAAAATACAAAAAATTAGCCGGGTGTGGTGGTGGGCGCCTGTAATTCCAGCTATTTGGAAGGGTGAGGCAGGAGAATCGCTTGAACCGGGAAGGCGGAGGTTGCAGTGAGCAGAGATAGCGCCATCGCACTCCAGCCTGGGCAACAAGAGTGAGACACCGTCTTCAAAACAACAACAACAACAACAACAACAACTCAGAACTAGCGCCCCACCAAACCCATTACTTGCTCAGGTCTTAGCAAATGGCCATTCTGTCCAAAGACTTGAATCATTCTCCGCCCTTCTCTTTCCCTCACTCCACATCCCAGCCACCAGTATTCCTGCCAGCTCCACCTTCAAACTGTGTTCAGGATCTTACAACTGCTCACCATGTTGTCTTCCTCCGAGTCACTGCCCAGACCCTGGATTCCCTGCACCACCGTCACCCCATCACCCGCCTCTCAGCCCCCTGTAGACACATCAGCCTTCTCCTGGTTCTGGCTCAGGACTTCACACTCCCTGATGGTCACATATCGTTCAGAGAGACTTTTCTTTTCTTTTCTTTTTTTGAGACGGAGTCTGGCTCTGTCGCCCAGGCTGGAGTGCAGTGGTGCGATCTCGGCTCACTGCAACCTCCGCATGCCAGGTTCAAGCGATTTTCCTGCCTCAGCCTCCGGAGTAGCTGGGACTATAGGCTCGCGCCACCACGCCCGGCTAATTTTTTGTATTTTTAGTAAAGACGGGGTTTCGCCGTGTTAGCCAGAATGGTCTCATCTCCTGACCTTGTGATCCGCCCGCCTCGGCCTCCCAGAGTGCTGGGATTACAGGCGTGAGCCACCGCGCCCGGCCCAGAGGCTTTTCTTACCATCCCCTCTAAAACTGTACCAACCCCCACTCCAGCGCCCTCTATCTCTTATCCTGCTTTGTTTTCTTTATAGCATTGATCACTCTTGAGCATGTTTTTTGTTTTGTTTTGTTTTGTTGTTTTTGTTCTGCATGTGCTTGTTGTCTGTTTTCTCAGAATAGAATGCAACCACCATGACGATAGTGGCTTTGTGTTATTCACTGGTATGTTCCCAGTACTCCTAGTTCCTACAGCAGTGCCTGGAACATAAAGGTCTTTAGTAAATATTTTTAAATAAATGAATAAAATATTGGACTGAGGCTTAATAAAATATATCAAAATACCAGTTTCCCCACTGATATAGAAATCAGATTTAGCAAAGTATGGCAGTGGACCAAATCCAACCTGCAGCCTGTTTTTGAAATAAAATTTTAACGGAACACAGCCACATCCATTCATTTACATATAGTCTGTGGTTTCTTCCATGCTAGCCACCAAGGTTGAGTAGTTGCAACAGACCGCATGGCCCCCAAAGACTAAAATATTTACTATCTTGCTCTCTACAGAAAAAAATTTGCCAACCCCTTATGTAGATAATACTTCCTACCTCTTCTTATGGTTTAAAAAGTAATAAAATAATGAATGCATTAAACAATCATTCCATTGTTAATCCACTCATACATACTTATTGAAAAAAGAGCCTGTAATCCCAGCACTTTGGGAGGCCGAGGCGGGCGGATCACGAGGTCAGGAGATCGAGACCATCCCGGCTAACACGGTGAAACCCTGTCTCTACTAAAAATACAAAAAATTAGCCGGGCGTAGTGGCGGGCGCCTGTAGTCCCAGCTACTTGGGAGGCTGAGGCAGGAGAATGGCGTGAACCCGGGAGGCGGAGCTTGCAGTGAGCCGAGATCCCGCCACTGCACTCCAGCCTGGGCGACAGAGCGAGACTCCGTCTCAAAAAAAAAAAAAAAAAAAAGAAAAAAAGAAAAAAGATAAAATTGTACAGAAGTGTGTAGGGTAAAAAGTGACAGCCCTCTTTCTCCAGCCACTAGGAGGTAGCCTGCTAGCATCTGGATTATTTCCAGGCCTTTTTGAAGCATTTCCATGCAAACCTCTGTACCCCTTGAGTGCAAATTTGTTTTGTTTTGACTTTATTTTTTTAATTGACAAATAAAAATTGTATATATTTGTGGTGTACAACATGATGTTTTGATATATGTAGACACTGTGGAATGGCTAAATCAAGCTAATTAACATATGCATTACTTCATATACTTATCGTTCAAATGAGTTTTGTTATCAAGATTTTGCTAGACTTGGAAGGAGAAGGAAAACTTTCCATCTGTTCCTGTGCTCTGACAGTTTGAATAACTGGAATCACATGCTCCTTGAAGGTTCACTAGCATCCCCCATAACACTACCTATATCTGCCGCCTGTTTCAGGGCCGGACCTCTGACTACCTTTTCCATTTCTTCAACAGAACCAGCAAGGATTTGGGTCTTCTGACTCTTTCGTTAATTGTGGTAGTTTACATTTTTATAAAAATATTCATTTCTTACACATTTTCCAATTTATTTCTATAGAGTTGATTACAAGTTTTAAATCTCTTCCCTATTTATAGTTATATTTCTTTTCTAATTCTTCCTTTTTTTTTTCTGGGTCAGGTCTGCCAGTAGTTTCACAGTTGTATTAGCTATTTTTCAAAGAACTCGATTTGGGGCTTAACAAATTTTGTTGTTTGCCCTGTTTGTTTGTTTCATTAATTTCTGCTTTTTTATTTTAAAATTTCTACTTTCTATGCTTTGTCTCCTAATATTTAGAGTTCATTTATTTTCCCTTGTCTTCTTACATTTTTTGGCCACATCCTGCTGGCTTTACTACACTGAGCCCTTGTCCCAGCATAAACTGTTGGCAATCGCAACCATGATTTCCTGGTTTACGCATAAATAACAGAAAGCCTCTCTGTTTTGCTTTGTTTTTATCTCCAAATACATATAACTTTTTCTTTCTTTTTCTTTTTTTTTTTTTTTGATTGGGGATATTCTTTTCTTTGTTATTTCTAATTTCTGGTTTTATTGCATGGTAGTTAGAAAATTAGCCTAAATGTTTTCCGCTTTTTGAAATTCATTGAGACTTTTTGGTTTATTACTATGTCAATTTTTGTAGATAGTATACGTGTACTTACAAAGAGTGTATATTCTATACTGAGTTCAAATTTCTGTATATTACTACAGAGTCAGCCTTGTGATCTCAAAATCTAAAACTGCTTTTTGTCTATTAAATCAGTTCTTTCCTGAGAAAGTTACTAAATCCTCTCATTTTGACTGTTAACTTATCAATTCATTTTTCTTTATATATTCTGATAGCATGTTGTTCAGGCATAAAGATTCATTGCTCTTCTAGTGTCTTCGTATTCTTATGTGTAAATATAAAATCTGTCCTATTGAATATTTTTGGCTTTAAATTCCATTTTTTTAATTTCACATTTCTCATCTTTCACAGATTTTGTAAATAAGTGACTACCTTTGTCATTTAATTTTCAACATTCCTGAATAATTTTATTTTAGAATACTTTTGTGAATGTTAGTGTGGTTGTATATTTTATTTACTTATTTATTTATGTTTTTAGTGACAGGGTCTCCACTCTGTTGTAGGTATTTATTTTTAGCATGTCTGATGGCCCATTAGTAATATTAATAGTGATAGGAACGTAGCTAAGCAGTATTGAGTCCTCTCAATTCAGGTATTCTACTGAGCACTTTACCCGCGTTATTTTATACAGTGCTCAGACCTAGCCTATAGGTAGTTCTTCTGGTTGTCCCCAGTTAACAGCTGAAGAAACTGAGGATTTGAGTGATTCCATGACCTACCCAAGATCAGAAAGGATTGGGCAGGATTTGAACCCAAGTACTCTATGAGCACTACACATTGGTCATATTAATTATAATTGCTGACTTATTCGGCTTTATCCCTGTCATCTTGTTTTGCACTGTATTCTAAGAGAATTCCTCTATTCAGTCTTTCAGCTCTCTGATAAGATCTTCGGTTAGGCCCATTCTTTGTGAAACAGTCATTCGATTTTTTATTTTAGAATGTGTTTTTAATTTTCTAGAACTGATTGCTTTTCTGACATAGCAACGAGTTGACCTGTGACTAGACAGACTGACATTTAGATTCTCCGAGTTGCTTGACTTCTTAGTAGGTATCCTCCTTGTCCCCACTCCATGCATCTGTTACCTGAGAGTACTGATTCTATTCTCCAGCCCCAACATCCTCTCTTTCTCTCTCTCTCTCTTTTTTTTTTTTTGAGACAGTATCGCTCTGTCACCCAGACTGCAGTGCAGTGGTGCGATCTCAGCTCACTGCAACCTCCGCCTTCTCCTGCCTAAGCCTCCCGAGTAGCTGGGATTACAGGTGTGTGCCACCATACCCAGCTAATTGTGTGTGTGTGTGTGTGTGTGTGTGTGTGTGTGTGTGTATTTTTAGTAGAGATGGGGTTTCACCACATTGGACAGGCTTGTCTCAAACTCCTGATCTCTGGTGATCTGTCCACCTTGGCCTTCCAAAGTGCTGGGATTACAGGCGTGAGCCACCGCGCCCAGCCCTCTCTTTCTCTTTAGCACTACCTAAACCTTTAGTACAATTTCTTGTTTTATTTTGGAGCAATGCTAACAGGTTTATTCTGCACCCAAATTCTAGAACTGCCACCAATCTGATTCCATCTACTTTATATCTTCAAGAATGTTTTGTCTCTTCTGATCTCTTAAAAACATCCCTTCCAAATATTTTTCCCATTCTGTAGGTTGTCGTTTTACTCTGCTGATTATTTCTTTTGCTGTGCAGAAGCCTTTTAGTTTAAGTCCTGTTTTTCTTTGTTCATTTTTGTTGCATTTGCTTTTGAGGTCTTAATCATAAATTCTTTGTGTAGGCCAATGTCCAGAAGAGTTTTTCTTAGGTTTTCTTCTAGGATTTTTATAGTTTCAGGTCTTACATTTAAGTTTTTAATCCTACCTTGAGTTAATTTTTGTATATTGGTCCAGTTTCATTCTTCTGCATATGACTGGCCAATTTTCTCAACACTATTTATTGAATAGGGTGTCCTTTCCCCACTGTATATTTTTGTTTATGTTGTTAAAGATCTGTTGGTTGTAGGTATGTGGCTTTATTTCTAGGTTCCCTATTCCATTCCATTGATCTATGTGTCTATTTTTTACTAGTACCATGCTGTTTTGGTTACTATAGACTTGTAGAGTAGTTTAAAGTCAGGTAATGTGATGCCTCCAGCTTTGTTCTTTTTGCTTAAGATTGCTTTGGCTATTCAGACTCTTTCCTGGTTCCATATCAATTTTAGGATTTTTTTTTAATTTTGTGAAAAATGACATTGGTAATTGATATTATTTGGATCTGTGTCCCCACCAAATCTCATGTGAAATTGTAATCCCCAGTGTTGGAGGTGGGGCCTCGTGGGAGGTGGTTGGATCATGAGGGCAGTTTCTCATGAATGGTTTAGTACCATGCCCTTTTGGTACTGTATAGTGAGTGAGTGCTCATGAGATCTGGTTGTTTAAAAGGGTGTAGCACCTTGCCGGTCTCTCTCTTGTTCCTGCTCCCACCATGTGAGACTCCTCACTCTCCCTTTGCCTTCCACTATGATTGTAAGTGTCCTGAGGCCTCCCCAGAAACTGAGAAGATGCCAGAGTCATGCCTCCTGTACAGCCAGCAGAACTGTGAGCCAATTAAACCTTTTTTGTTTAAAAATTACCCAGTTTCATGTATCTGTAGCAATTTGAGAACAGACTAACACAGTAGTTTGGTAGGAATTGCATTGAATCCATAGATTGCTTTGGGCAGTATGATCATTTTAACAGTATTGATTCTTCCAATCCAGGAGCATGGGATATTTTTCCATTTGTCTGTGTCATCTACAATTTCTTTCATCAGTGTTTTGTAGTTCTCCTTGTAGAGATCTTTCACTTCCTTGGTTAAATATTTTCCTAGGTATTTTTTTCATAGCTATTGTAAATGGGATTGAGTTCTTGGTTTGGTTCTCAGCTTGGTTGTTATAGGTGTATAGAAATGCTACTGATTTTTGTACCATTGATTTTGTATCCTGAAACTTTACTGAAGTAATTTATGAAGTCTAGGGAGAAAATATTTGCAGACTCTGCATCCAACAAAGGACTAATATTCAGAATGTACACGGAACTCAAACAACTGTACAAGAAAAAAATAACCCCATTAAAAAGTGGGCAAAGGACATGAATAAACATTTTTCAAAAGGATATATACAAGTGACCAACGAACATATGAAAAAATGTTCAACATTACTAATCATCAGAGAAATGCAAACTAAAACCACAAAGAGATAAAATCTTGGCCGGGCGCGGTGGCTCACACCTGTAATCCCAGGACTTTGGGAGGCTGAGGCAGGCAGATCACAAGAAGATCGAGACCATCCTGGCTAACACGGTGAAACCCCGTCTCTACTAAAAATACAAAAAGAAAAGAGAAATTAGCCGGGCGTGGTGGTGGGCGCCTGTAGTCCCAGCTACTCGGGAGGCTGAGGTGGGAGAATGGAGTGAACCCGGGAGGCAGAACTTGCAGTGAGCTGAGATCACACCACTGCACTCCAGCACGGGCAACAGAGCAAGACTCCATCTCAAAAAAACAAACAAAAATCTTACACCAGTCAGAATGGCTATGAAAAGTCAAAAAAACAACAGATGTTGGCAAGGATGTGGAGAAAAGGAAACACTTATAGACTGTTGGTAGAAATATAAATTAGTACAATTTCTATGGAAAACGGTATGGAGATTTCTCAAAGAAATAAAAGTAGTACTACCATTTGATATAGGAATCTCACTCGTGGATATCTGCCCAAAGGAAAAGAAATCATTATATGAAAAAGATACCTGCACTTGTATGTTCATTGCAGCATTATTCACAATAGCAAAGTCATGGAATAAACGTAAGTGTCCATCAATGGATGACTGAATAAAGAAAATGTGGTGTATATATGTACATCATGGACTACTGCTCAGCCATTAAAAAAATGAAACCATGTCTTTTGTAGCAACATGGATGGAACTGGAGGCCATTATCTTCAGTGAAATAACTCAGAAACAGAAAGTCAAATAGTGTATGTTCTCACTTATAAGTGGAGCTAAACAATGTGTACACATGGACATTGAGAATAAAACAATAGACATTGGAGACTCCAAAAGGTGGGAGGGTGAGAAGGGGCTCAGGGATGAGAAATTACCTAATGAGTGTCATGTACACTATTTGTGTGACAGTTGCAATAAAAGTCCCCGACTTCACCACTATGCAATATATCCATGTAACACAACTTCACTTGTACCCCCTAAATCTATTTTTAAAACACAAAAAGCACCTTTTCTAAATTTCCAATGCTGCTACAGAATTACTCTCCATTTTATATCCCTTTGGTCCCTGAAATAGGATTTAAACAGGGAGGAAGGGTAAATTCTCATGTTTAGTCAGTCATCTTCGACTGGAAATCTTTTCATTTTTTCTTACTCACTAATTATGGCTGTCATCAACTAAGATATCAAAAGGGAGTTGCTCTGTTTTCCTTTCTTTCCTCTGGACTATATCAGCTGAATGTCATCTTAGCAAATGGAAACCAAAACCCACATTCTTCTCGTATGGTGGACAGGGACAGTGTCACTCCTCACAGCAATAGTGTCCCTAAAATTGCTAAGATAGACTAGACAGCAGAGTGGCACTCTCACACGTGTGGCCTATAAACTGACCACCCCAAGGGTTACATCACCAATGATGCTGAAAGGTAGGTTTCAAGTGCCCAAACTGTTCTCTTCACATTTTTTTTCTTTTTTTCTTTTTTTTTTTTTTTTTTGAGACGGAGACTTACTCTGTTGCCCAGGCTGGAGTGCAGTGGCGCGATCTCAGCTCACTGCAAGCTCCACCTCCGGGGTTCAAGCAATTCTCCTACATCAGCCTCCCGAGTAGCTGGGATTACAGGCGCCCACCACCATGCCTGGCTAATTTTTGCATTTTTAGTAGAGACGGGGTTTCACCATGTTGGCCAGGCTAGTCTCAAACTCCTAACCTCAGATGTTCTGCCTGCCTTGGCCTCCCAAAGTGCTGGGATTACGGGCGTGAGCCACTGCACATTTTCTTTTTAAATTTTAACTATTTCTAATTTTTAGATAAGCAGTGTATTCACTTGGTCCCAAAATCAATGGGTTCAAAGTATAAATGGTGAAAATTCTCCCTTCCACCTTCTCTCCTATCCAGTCCCCTTCCCATGAACAGTCATGATTAACAGATTTTTGTACATACTTCATTCTAGAGATATTTTGTTCATGCAAAAGCTATACATATTTTCCTCATTTAAGAAAACCACAAATAGTAGTATAATGTAGACATACTCTACAACTCACTGTTTTCACTGAGCAATATGCAGTGGAGATGAATCCATGTCTGTTCATAAAGAGCTTCTTTATTCATTTTTAGAGCTACAGAATATTTCTTTGTGTGGCTGTACTGTTATTTATTTAAGCAATCCCCTGTTGACTACTGTTTAGCTTATCTCGTCTTTGCTGTTACAGTGTCACCATGAAGAGACTTGTGCACACATCATGTCACATATCTATAAATATAAATGAATTCCTAAAAGAGAATTGCTGGTTCAAAGGGTATTTGCATGCAAAATTTTCCTAGATGTTGTCAAATTGTGCCCTGTAAGGGTTACAAACAATTTAGACTCCCACAAGTAATTTGTGATTGTCCTTGTTTCCCTGTATCCTCAGTAATACAATGTGTTATCAAATTTTGAAGTATTTGTTGGTCTAGTGGGTGAAAAATTATATCCCATTGTAGTTTGTGTGAAATTACTTATTATGAGTGAGACTGAACATCATTTCATCTTTGAAGATCCATATGCATTTTCTTTTCTCTCTGTTCATATCCTTTTGAGAAAAAGAAAATCACTTTTATCTGAGAAATGCAAGTCTTTTTAATTATCAGGTCCAGAGAGACATTAAAATGAGACAAGGCCAGGTGCAGTGGCTCACATCTGTAATACTAGCAGTTTGGGAGGCCCAGGCAGGTGGATCGCTTGAGCCCAGGAGTTTGAGACCAGCCTGGGAAACATGGCAAAACCCTATCTCTGCAAAAAATACCAAAAAAAATTTGTTGGGTGTGGTGGCACATACCCTTGAAATTAAATTGCCATTGTAACATTATTAAGAGATGGGACCTTTAAGAGGTAATTAAGCCATGGGGGCTCTGCCCTCATGGGTGGGATTGATGTTATTATAAAAGAGTGAGTTCAGCCCCTTGCCCTCTCTCTTGCCCTCTGCCTTCCACCATGGGATGATGCAGCAAGAAGGTCCTTGTCAGACACTGACCTCTCAGGAATTCCCAGCCTCCAGAACTGTGGGTTAATACATTTCTATTTATTGCAAATTACCCATCTCAGGTTATGGCAGCACAAATGGACTAAAACATACAGCAATGAAATTATTCTTTATATGTGATTTGAGTTGCAAATGCTCGCCAGTTTACTGTTTGTCTTGTGACTTTGCCTGGGGAGGGTTTTTACATGTGGATTTTTTCTTTTTTATTTTAGAATAATTGAATCTATCAAACTCTTCTGTGATGGCTCCCCAGTTTTATGTTGTACCTAGAAATGCCCTCCCCAGCATTTGATTCAAAACAAGTATGATTGTTTATTCTAATATTTTATGGTATCTTTTTTTTACATTTAATTTTTTAATCAACTAGAATTTATCCTGGAGTCAGGTGTGAGATCCGAATTTAACTTTATATTTCCTTAGAGTTTTTCTTTCCACATTAACTTTAGAATCAGATTGTTTCGCTCTCCCTCAAAAAAGAAAATCCTGTTGGGATATTTATTGGAATTGCATCAACTTTATTATTAACACACTCTCCACTATGGTTACTGTTTTGGTGGTGAATCTTCCTTTCCAAGATTACAGATTTCCACCTCTTTGACTTTTCTTTGTATCCCTCAGGAGTGTTTTGAATTTTTTTTTTTTTTTTTTTTTTTTTTTTGAGACAGAGTCTCGCTCTGTCGCCCAGGCTGGAGTGCAGTGGCACAATCTCAGCTCGCTGCAAGCTCCGCCTCCCGGGTTCACGCCATTCTCCTGCCTCAGCCTCCTGAGCAGCTGGGACTACAGGCGCCAGCCACCATGCCCGGCTAATTTTTTGTATTTTTAGTAGAGATGGGATTTCACTGTGTTAGCCAGATGGTCTCGATCTCCTGACCTTGTGATCCGCCTGCCTCGGCCTCCCAAAGTGCTGGGATTACATGAATTTTTCTTTATATGAACGATGCACCTAAGAATAATCTATTCCACTGAGATAACGTTGCAATTTTAAAATGAAGGAAAGAAAGAAACCCTAGCATCTCAGTAGGCCAGCCTAACAACGCTTCCTTCTTGTTCATGCAAAGGCAAGTTGGCAGGTGATCCCCTCCATCCTGTGATTCAGGTATCCAGGTTCTTTTCACCTTGAGATGTTGCTCTGAAACAAGGGGCCTCCAAAGCTCCTGCAGCAGGGGAAGAGAGCCTGGAGTAGCACCCAAGCTATTAATTCCCTGGGCCTGGAGGTCACACACTTCTTTTTTCATTTTATTGGCTACACTCATCACAAGACTACCTAACTGCAAAGATACTGTTAGTCCTTTGCAAAGGTAATCCCGTCATGTACCCAGGAAAGAAAGGAGGACAAGATATATGTAACACTGGCAGTCTCTTTCACACCAGCAAAACTATTAACCACAAGGGTAAACTAAAGAAACATTTTGGTCATACAAAGTCTCAAAACATTTCATTCCAAGGCAGCTTCTCTCAGGAAACTAGTAGAGTGGAGCCTCCACCAAAATAAGAGAGCAAATCAAAGAAGAGGAATATATGGGATAAGGAGACAAAGAACCCAACCCAAGATTGAGTCAAAGTGAATCCCCAGGATGGTGGTGAAGAACATCCCAGGAGGCAGCAAGACTCCAACTAAAAGCGTGTGCTGTTTTTGCCTCTGCAAAGGAGAAAGGAACCAACAGAAAGGAAGCTAACCAAGAGCCAAGGAGCAGCACCCAGACCAAATTAGGCAGATGAGCAGCCTGTATCCAGCTCTGCCTGAAGCTGGGTCTGTTCCTAGGGAGTTTAGTTACATGAGTCAGTGACTTACCTTTGTGCTTTGGCCAGTTGAGGGCTGGTTTTTACTTAATAACAAAACAATTCCAGTCTGAGACCAGGAGACCACAGAAATGGAAGAAATAAAGCTAGTTCTCAGGGAATTTTATTCTTTTTTGTGTGTTCTTTTAAAAAACATGTTTAGGACGGGCACTGTGGCTCATGTCTGTAATCCCAGCACTTTGGGAGGCCAAGGCAGGCAGATCACGAGGTCAGGAGATAGAGACCATCCTGGCTAACACGGTGAAACCCCGTGTCTACTGAAAATACAAAAAAAATTAGCTGGGCGTGGTGGTGGGCGCCTGTAGTCCCAGCTACTCAGGAGGCTGAGGCAGGAGAATGGCGTGAACCCAGGAGGCGGAGCTTGCAGTGAGCGGAGATTGCGCCACTGCACTCCAGCCTGGGCAACAGAGCAAGACTCCGTCTCAAAAAAAAAAAGTGTTTATATTTGACATATAATAATTGTACACATTTATGGGGTACAGTGTGATGTTTCACTACATGTATACATTGTATAATGACCAAATCTGGGTAGTTAGCATATCATTCACCACAAAATTTACATTTATTTCTGGTGATAACTTTCAGGATCCTCTTTATTAGCTCACTTGAAATATACTCTACATTGTTATTAGCTGTAGTCATCGTACTATGGACGGGAACACCAGCATTTATTCTTCCTGTCTAACTGTAACTTTGTGCCCATTGACCAACCTCTTCCCATCCCTGTTTCCCCTCCCCAGGCTCTGGTAATCACTGTTTTGCTCTCTACTTCTATGTGATCAACCTTTTTGACGCTACATGAGAGAGATCATGTGGTATCTGCCTTTCTGTGCCTGGTTTATTTCACTTAGCCTTATGTCCTCCAGGCTCATCCATGTTGCTGTGAATGACAGGATTTCATTCTTTTCCCACGAGTTTTTAATCTTGTTAAGGACATTTTAACTGTCATTAACTACAGTGTATATTGTCTCTGCTTCTAGACTGTCATCTCCTCAAGGACTATGTGTTTTAGCTAAATTCCTTGCATGCAGTGGGCCTTAGAAGCTGGGCAATTTCAGAAATGAAAATCACACTGTGAAAGTTATTCACAGTTTAGTATTAAGTGAAAGAAGTTAAGTGGGAAGCTAATTTGCTCATTTTAAAAAATGGGGCTACTTGGGAAAATATTTTAAATGGCATTTTAAGTGTTGGGATTTCAGGTGAAATTTCTTATCTTATTTTTGCTTTTTGGTTTTCTTCATTTTCTGCCATGAATATTATTTGTTTTGTAATGAAAAGGTATATATAAAAAATTGATTGTGAGTTCAAACAATGCTATCTGTCAGCATTAAGCATGAAAGTACACTAAAGAAACATTTTGGTCTTGGTTTGGCTGCTATTTTACAAAAGCATTCACTAATTTTTTTTTTTTTTTGAATGAGAAAACATTTATTCCATCTCCAAACAGCATCCCAGGGCCGGGCATCTCCCCTACGACTTTATAATACACTCGGCACAGACAGAGTCTGGGAGCCATGGGACACCTCTGCCCTCCCCAGGCTTCCTAAGTAACAACTGCAGAATATTTACATAAAGCTGGGTGTTGTCAGGCAAAGCCATTCCCTGCTGCCAGGGGTGGGAGCAAGAAGCAAGTGCCATGAGCACCAGCCCCGCCTTCACACCGTGGGAGGCAGCCCAGAGGCCACCGGCACAGGGTGGTGGCCCCCAGATCATACAGCAGTGGACACAGGGGAAGCAAACCTGAGTGAGGACACAAGAGCCTGGTCCGGCTCCGCTGCACAGGGTAGGTGTGACGGCCCCCACGAGTCTTTGGCAGAGAACGCAGGTAACAGCGGCTCCCACGGCCGGACCCGGGCCGGGGGGAAGCTGAGGCACTTGTCAGTAGCACATGGGTGCCTGCTGGCTTCTAGCCACTCCAGGCGGGGATGGGGTCATTAAAAGCAAGGAAAAACACTAGCTAAAAACCCTTTCCTAAAAGTGCCCTGGAGGAGTGAGCGGCTGACTGAAGCCCTCTGGGCACAGGCACGTGGGGTGTGGCTCGGCCAGCCCCCGCCGGGCTGTAAGGCTCCTTAGCTGTGTGTCAGCTGCACAGGATGGAACAGGTGAAAGAGGGGGTTTGGCAGTTCCAGGAGGCTCATGGGAAAGTCCAGGGCAGAGGGGAGGGCCCTCTCTGTCCCCCTTCCCACCCTAACCGCCACTCAGTACACAGGGGGCGGCTGGTAGCCCTCGGTGGTCTCCGCATTCTGGGTGAAGGGTGGCTGTTGGTAGTTGTCCACAGATGCACCTGGGTAGGAGGCGTAGGCAGTGTTGGGGTCCGGAGTGGGGTCGACGTAGTTCTGGATGAAGTCGTCCACGCCAGCCTTGTAGCGCTGGTAGGTCAGGGAGGCCAGCACACCCCAGGAGAAGATGGAAAAGAAGCTGAAGGTGATGGCTGCCCTCGCAGAGTCGGCCCCCACCAGCACGTCCTCCGGGTCGGTGACCGCCCACTGGTTGGTGAGGAAGCAGAAACCAACAAACCACAGGAAGGTCCAGAGAGCTGAAAAGAGCAGGTCACCAATGACGAGGTACTTGCGGTCAGTGGCGTTGCTGATCTGGGGGAAATACGCGTCGACCACCAAGAAGGCCGAGGCCAGGAAGGCCAGCACCCCGATGGCACTGCCATAGCGGCAGGCATCCTCGTTGTGGTTGAACACGCAGTACATCTGCTTAGACTTATGGGTGTTGCTGTAGCCCTCGCCATAGATGCAGGAGAACACGATCAAGGCGAAGACTGTGGAGGGCGGGAAGGCGGGGCCCGGGACGCTAAATGCCCGCCCCGCTCGCCGCCAGGGCCCGGACGCGGCCGCATCCACCTGTCACGCTCGTGGGTTAGGGGTCCCGCCGGGCCTGGCGGCGGGGGGGGTCCTCGGGGTGCCCCCGGCCCGCCCTCCCCGGGCTCACCAAGCACAGGGCGCGCGCCACCACCTGCGGCTGCGTCAGGAAGGGCCGCAGGTCGAAGGAGCCGCCCGCCTCGGCCACGCCGTAGGCCCCGCTCTCCATGTCGCCGTCGCCGCCCAGCATTCACTATTTAAATACTGTAACATTTTCCCATCTTTTCTTTTTAAGAAAATTAAAATTGAGTGTGAGAATTTCTCTCACATTCAATAAATCATATCACTGTGATATAAATATATCGCTATAATATATGAAGGTTTTCTTTAAAGATTTGTTAATTCAGTAAGCAAAACAGGACAGACACATTATGAATTTTAAAAAATAACTTAGGCCTAAATATTAATATTTATTCTTCAGACCCTTTATTGTTGAGATATGACATCTACTAGATATGATATCTACTAGATCAAACCTAGATTCTTAGGTTTACACAGGCCAAACAAATCAGTGTCCCTTCTGTAAAATAATACTTGAAGCAAGAAAAATATATAGAGATTCACATTGAATCTGGTTTATGCTTAAACTAGACTTAGTCCTGTAAATCTGAAAATGTGCTTATAATTACAAGTATTCTTAAAATGTGTGTAAGTGCCTTTTTATGTTTGAATTTGATCTAAAAGTGCCTACATTGCCCGTAACACTCTCAAGCTTTCATAGGAGCAATAGTTCCTTAAAAAATTTTTTTTCTCCACATTCCATAAATCTCACTAAAGACAATTGTTTTCCAATAACACGTACCATGTGAAAGGTATTTATTTTCCAGACAGCATTTACTGGAAGAAATGCACAAACCACAATTGTTCAGAATAGGAAAAATATAAAATAGTGCTTAGAATCTTACGGTAGTACCCAAAACTACCCAAATTGCTGTAATTATTGTGAAAAAAGTAATCACAGTATTTGTTCAATATTTAAAAACACAATTTATTGAGAATCCATATTGAACATGTCTGAGTTCTGGGAACATTTTAAAATTTAATATTGTCATATGAGCTACTAATACTTTGTTTACATTTTCTCTGTGAACTCACCCTTCTAACAGCTTACAGTTAAAGTGTTTGTAATAGACCACTGACCTGGCTTTGCTGGCTTCGGGCTACAGAAAACTACAGTCCTCACTTAACACAAGGGTAGAAATATAGCACCACTAGATGGTACTATGAGGTAATTATTAAATTCCACATTATTTCAACTGAGCATCGACAGTGATTTTTTTCTGCAAGGAATAAATCACTCTTACTAGTCTTACCATTCCCATTAGCACCATCTACTCCTAACTTTAATTTCCTAAATCACCCCAGTGGGAAGAACTGCCAGCCTTTGATTCATAACAAAATCTTTTACATAAAGTTTTTGAGGTTAAATAAAATGTGGCTTCTGGGAAGTGATATTAATTCCCCGTTTTCTTTCACAATTACCTTGAAGCTCAACAATATGTAAAGGAATGTAAACAAGAGTTTTCATAGCCAACTGAGCGATTAAAAGACAAAATAGCATTAACAAAAACCAGTTTTGCCATTCTTCATGGTATATATAGTTGACAGCTAAAGCTTTTGTTTATTTTCATTGTTAAGTCTTACATGCAAAGAATGTTTTGGTAGATAGGGTGAATTTTGTCTTTATCGATATGGTTCAAACAGCCAGCCTGTGGTTAATACTCTGTTTAATCAAAGCATTGCAGTTCCCAGCAGCTTCTCCGATGGGCATTAGCCCTGGGCTCAGTCACCCAGGAAAACACAATGGTTTCACTTCAGAGAGTATTTGAAGCCAACTGCACCCTGTGCTGCTAAATGTTGCCATTTTCCACTGAAAAGAATTCCACACTAATCATGTGTGAAGGTCATTTTGATTCTGGTTTGTAATACGTAGATACTGTTCCTATCTGCTTTTGTGGTCAATTGGTAAGAATGGTAATTCTCCAAGGCCTAAGTCAGCTCAGCTCACAGTAGCTGCATTAGAAAAACTGTTTCCCCTTCAACCAACCCAGCGTCTGAAAGATTCACATCAGGTCAGAGAGCAAAAATAATATAGACAAAAATCTGTTCAATAGGAAATACGTTGACTTGGAAAATCCCCAAATTAAATAACTGAAAAGTTATGTTTAAGTTTATAAATCTTTTAGTATTTTCATTATGAAAGAACATGTTCCAGTAATGATTAATCATTTAGTTCAGTACTCTGAGAATTAAAGAATGCAGCCAATTTATAATAAGGAAATATTTCATTGTCTAAATAAAAATTTGAAAATTGAATGTTTATTGAACATCATAGTGCAAAGTGTTGTGGGGAATGCAAAAATGTAAAAGGTAATTCTTACCCTCAAGAACACATGTGCAGACATCCTCATTAAAGAAGACAAGCATGAATTGTTCAAAACAGTACAAGGCCCCATATACCTAGATAGCAGACTGTCAGTCAGCAATGTTTAGGGTGTTGGATAAAAGAAGGCTCTTTGTGAGCGAGCATGAAGAGAGACTTCCTGGAAGCAATGTGACTTGAGCAGCTCACAGATCGCTGGTTCTTGCCCTGGCTGTGTATTGGAATTGCATCTGGAACATCAAAATACACTGATGCCCGAGCCCTGCCACAAGGGATTCTGATTTAGTTTATCTGGGTGCTCCCAGGTGAATCTAATAAATCATTGCCTTAGTGTTGGTCACATTTCTGGCTGATGGTTCAAGAATAGAGCCTGAGCCAGAATGTAAATCAACCACATCGCTTCGCCCAGTGTTTAGTTCTGCTGGCGATGGTCTCGTGACATGTTGTGAGCCATGAAAGAAGCAGTTGGATGACTTCCCTTCTGGTGCAGGGTTCTCTTCTTGGAGCCACATGTTGGGGCTGGCATGACTTTCCGTTTAGTCCACCTTTCCCCCTTTTCAACGCACTTTATGTTTGTAAGTAAAAAATCCATCTTGGCTGGGCGCGGTGGCTCACGCATGAAATCTCAGCACTTTGGGAGGCCGAGGCAGGCGGATCATGAGGTCAGGAAATCGAGACCATCCTGGCTAACACGGTGAAAACCACGTCACTACTAAAAATACAAAAAACTAGCTGGGCGCGGTGGCGGGCGCCTATAGTCCCAGCTACTCAGGAGGCTGAGGCAGGAGAATGGCATGAACCCAGAAGGCGGAGCTTGTAGTGAGCCGAGATTGTGCCACTGCATTCCAGCCTGGGCGACAGAGCAAGACTCCATCTCAAAAAAAAAAAAAAAAAAAAAAAAATCTTCCAATCTTCAGGTTGAATAATGCTGTAATCCCAGTAACTTGGGTGGCTGAGGTGGGAGGGTCGCTTGAGCCCAAGAGTTCAAGACCAGCTTGAGCAACATAGCAAGACCCCATCTCTAAAAATAAATGTAAAAAAATAAATTCCATCTTCAGTTTTGTTCTTTCTGTATTCTGCAGCCTTGTCTGCCTGTGCATGCCCTTTAGCATAGGACATGGTGCAGAATATGTGCACCATAAAATTTTTTTTGACTCTTTATTGTGGAAATTTTCAAACATGTACAAAGTAAACAGAATAGCGTAATAAACCCCTATGCGGCAAATACCCAGCTTCGACATTCAGCATTCTGCCATTCCAGGGTCTTCTGTAGCTCACCCCACTCCCCTGCCCTTACTCAACCATTAATATTTTTACAGTTTTATTGAAGGTAAAATTGACATATATCAAAATGCCATAATGACAAAGTAACAAAAATTAAGTGTATATATATATATATATATATATATATATATATATATATATATATATACTGGGCTCACTGCAAGCTCAGCCTCCCGGGTTCACGCCATTTTCCTGCCTCAGCCTCCCGAGTAGCTGGGACTACAGGCACGCGCCACCTCACCCAGCTAATTTTTTTTGTATTTTTAGTAGAGACGGGGTTTCACCATGTTAGCCAGGATGGTCTCCATCTCCTGACCTCGTGATTCACCCACCTTGGCCTCCCAAAGTGCTGGGATTACAGGCATGAGCCACCGTGCCCAGCCGATTTTTTATTAATTTATTTATTTTTGAGATGGAGTCTCCCTGCGACACCCAGGCTAGAGTGCAGTGGCACCATCTCAGCTCACTGCAAACTCCACTTCCCAGGTTCAAGCGACTCTCCTGCCTCAGCCTCCCAAGTGGCTAGGATTACAGTCATGCACCACCAAGCCCGGCTAATTTTTGTATTTTTAGTAGAGATGGAGTTTCACCATATTGGCCAGGCTGGTCTCAAACTCCTGACCTCAAGTAATCCACCCACCTTGGCCTCCCAAAGTGCTGGGATTATAGGTGTGAGCCACCGCACCCGGCCTTATTTTAACAAACACACACCTCTGTAACTCACACCCCTATCACGATATAGAGCATTTCCATCACTCCAGAAAGCTCCCTCATGTCCCTTTCCAGGTAACTAACCAGGGCAACAAGTATGACCTTTATTTTATCCACTTTAGATGAATTTTGCCTATTCTAAAAAGTCATCTAAGTGGAGCATACAGTCTTTACTCTTCTGTGTCCAGATTCTTTTGTTCCACATAATTTCTACAAGGCTCATCCATTTATTAATAATAAATATTTTTGGCTGGGCACAGTGGCCTGTAATCCTAGCAGGCCACTTGGGAGGCTGAGGTGGGTGGATCACTTGAGGCCAGGAGTTTGAGACCAGCCTGGCCAACATGGTGAAACCCCATCTCTACTAAAAATAAAAAATTAGCCAGGCATGGTGGCAAACGGCTATAATTCCAGCTACTTGGGAGGCTGAGGCACAAGAATTGCTTGAACCTGGGAGGTAGAGGTTGCAGTGAGCTGACACCACACCACTGCACTCCACCCTGGGTGATGGAGTCAGACCCTGTCTCAAAAAAAAAAAAAAGAAGAATGAGAATGAGAAGGAAAGGAGAGGAAGAGGAAGAAGAGAAAGAAGAAGGAGAAGGAGAAGGAGGAGGAGAAGGAGGAGAAGAAGAAAGAGAAGAAGAAGGAGAAGAATTTTTTGACTTCCAGACTAGAAAGTGACAGTGAGAGCAGAGGGCTCACAGTAGAGAACACATTGGGCGAGCAGGTTGGCCTCAGTCTGTGGAAGTCCTTGGAAGTCAGGAAAAGCGACCTTTACTCTATTTTCCTGGTGCCAAGTTAACAGCCTTTTTCATAATTGCTGAGCAGGGCCTGGGAACTGATTCTCTGCCACCATGTCCTACTCCCCACTGCTTTCATGAGTCACCACTGTGCCACTGAGTAGCGGTGCCTATTGCCAACTCTACTTGGAGCTGGTGCATGCACATCCCCTTCTGAAGAGCTGGCATAACTCCAAGTCCCATCCCACACCCCCTGGAAGGATGGGAAGACCAAGCTCAGAACTTGGCACATGCCTCTGAAAGATCGTTCATGCCTCCTTGAGGTGGTGGAGCTGGAAAGGCAAAGGTCAGGAAGATCAGTCAGGAAGCCATGGGCCAGGGCTGGGTGCCAGGAGCAGTCAGGGCCCTGATTTGGTAACTTTGGACCTGGCCCTGTATTGCTAGGGAATGGAATCAAATTATCTTACAGGGCTGCCAAGGCTGTTTTGATTTGTGCGGGTGCAATGCAAGGTCAGGAATGCCACAATCCAACTATCAAATGCAAGAGCGATAAAAAATTTGCTGACCAGATCAGCTTAGACATGCAGCATTTAGGTTCTGGAATAGAAATCCAGGTCAGGGACACAGAAGACTACAGTCTGGACCCAAGCCAAGTTTGGGAGCACAGGAAGTCCAAGGTGAAAGAGTGAGTGGAGTGTTATTTCCCAGCAAAAAGCTAGAGCAGGATTAGACTGGAGAAGCAGTTGTCCAGCAGGAGAAAGGGTGCCTGGAGGCATGTACCAAACAATAGCTTCCTCCCTAAGTGGACCATTACCTTCTCTCAAATTCCAGAAAAGCATAAATTTTGAGGACTTGGAAGGGTGGGAAAACTTCTAGGTGCCTTATGGTAACTGATAGGATCAAAGAGTTGGAAACTGGGTGTATTAATTATCTGTTGCGGCATAACAAATCACACCAAAACTTAGTGGCTTGAAAAGCACGTTTATTATTTCATAGTTTCTGTGGGTCAGGTATCCAGCCACAGTTGAGTTGGATTATCCAACTCAAGACTTCTCACGAGGCCACTGTTGGTAAAGAATCAAGAACCTCATCCTAACATCTTGCAAAGAACTGAATCCTGCCAACAACCATGTGAGTGAGGTTGGAAGTAAATCCTTTTCTTGTTGAACCTTCAGATGAAACCACAGCCCTGTCTGACAGCCCTGTAGCAGACTCATTTGTTTTGCAGACATGTGCAATGAAGCTAAGAATACATGTCCTGAACATGGTCAAAACAGGATGCTTCCTAATCCATGTCCGTGGCTTGCCTTCTTTCTAGAGCTCTCCCATGGCTCAAATGGCTGTGGATTCTGGTTCTGATGCCATGCCATTAGCTCATACACCATGATTACAACTGAATTCATCATCTGGGTCCTAAATTATTTCCATCCTCCTGTCCTATTTTGGTCAAGAGTATTTCCACTTCTCCAGTCCCCTAGTATGGTAGGCAGCTTCCAGCATGGCTCCCAGCGACCCCTGTCTCCTTGTCTTCATGCCCATGTGTAGTTCCTTCTCCTTGTGTATATGGGCTGGACTCGTGACTTGGTTTTAATGAATAAACACAGCAAGGGTGATGGATGCCACTTTGGAAATCAGATTATAAAAGACAGTGACTTCCATCTTGTTCAGATTCTTTTCACGTGCTTGCTCTGACAAAGCAAACTGGAGAGATTCACGTGGCAAGAAACTGAGTCCTGGAACCAATACCCCCCAGATGCCAAGGGATGACTGTTTTGTTATTGTCATTATTGTTGCTTTAAACAATTGTTCATCGGAAGAGATCAAAGCTTCGGAGACCATTTTGGCTCTTTCCACTCCTGTTTCCAGTAGAGCTAATCCCTATATCGTCTTCTTTGTGACTGTGAGATTCTCATCTTCATCTCACTCTCCACACCCCTCCTGGGTTCAGGCCTTGCTGTCCTCAGGCCAGGGGCACATCCAGCCCTCATGCTTGTCTCCATGTGCCCCTTTGTTTACCAGATCTCCCTTCTAAAACACTTCTTGTCACCTCTGTATAAGGCACAGTTCAGGGTCACTCTTTGTGTAAGGCACAGAGCTCTCAACCCACCCTTGGGGGCTCCTACCGCCACCCCTTTGTCTTTCCTGACCAAGCCTCACCCAGCCAACCCCATGGTCCCTCTTCCATGCCCACTGCTCTGCTGATCTCTGCCTCTGTGTCCTTCTCCTCTCGTGTGCGTGGAAGCGGTGCCCAATTCCCCTGTCTCTGAGACCTCCCATCCACCAGGATCGTTGACTATTGACTTTCCGCAGCACTTTTGTACTTGATATTTCCACCCTCTCTTTCTGTCTTAAATATTGACTTGAAATCATTATCTAGTCATTTTTAAATCATAGATATCACTCACTGAAGATACAATTAATCTTCACAACTGCTGTGCAAAGTAGATGTGATGATCTCCATTTTATGACTGGGGAAACTGAAGTTCAAGGCCACACAGCTAATAAAAATCACTGCCAAAATCCAAGCCCAGGCCCATATACTCTTTCCCACCCAGGGCTCCACTGACTTCCCCTCCATTTGCCTGGGAAACACCTTGTTCCCCAAGTCTTCTGAATCCCTACAATAATTGGGGATTTTACTCTAGGGTAGAAAACAAAGTGATATGTGCAAATTTCTGACAGACACATACATTTCAACCACAATTTATTAAATATTGACCAAGTTAAATGGATAGCAAGGTTAATTTATATTTTGTAAAACAAAGTAATGAAAATGTTATATTTTTGGTAACACTGCATGTCCGTATCAAATATAAGTGTTGAAAATTTTCCATTTCTGGTCAGTTAAGTCTGACTCTGTTCCATTAAATATCTACATTAAATGAAGTACCATACTGTCTTAAGATTTATGCATTTATATGAATAGACTCCAGGGTGTAGCACTTTAATCTATAAAAAGTACTAACTAAAAGTAACCGTTGCCATGGCAACACACTGCATGCATTAGTAGCCTTCAAAGGCAAAGCACTTTTGGAAATGAGCATTTACTGATGCCCCAGACAAACCGAAACTCAATGGAATGGATTTTAAATCACCGTTAACACTTGGAACTTCATTCCTAGGTTTAAAGTAGATCACGGAGCTTCACAGCACATATATTATTTTTCACTTAAAAGAGAGTATTTCATTAGTGAGTGACTGCTGATTTTCTATACACATTTTGAGAAACTCAAAAAGATAGATTTTAAAGTGAATCTAGATGAGCAAGGTCCTAGAAGAGCTATGAACATTTGGCAACACAAGAGTGAGGGAGAATAGAGCACTCTCCCTGCGTGAAGTCGTTGCACAAAGTCAGAGTGATAAGACAATTTGGTCCTGGCAGAGGAAACATAAAGAGATGGATGCAGCCTGCAAGAGCCCAAAATTGCCCTCATGGACCTTGGATGGGCACAGGAAAGCAGTGGCACACAAGACCTGTGGGGAGACGATGGATGTGTAGATGAATCTGTTAACAGCAATGATGGGGAAAACCCCTCACTAGATGGAGAGCATAGGGTTGGATCCCTGCCTCACGCTGTGTAGCAAAGGCAAAGTCCTATTGGATTCACTACCCACATATGAAAAGGAAATCCACAACCCAGATACCAAAAGGTGAGGGGAAATATCTCTGAGACCTCAGGGAGGAGATTTCTTAAACAAGACTCCAAATGCACATATTACAGGGCAAAATATGATGAACACAACCATATAAAAACTAAACATTTAAGGTGTATTAGTCCATTGTCACACTGCTATAAAGAACTAACTGAGGCTAGGTAATTTATGAAGAAAAGAGATTTAATTGACTCATAGTCCTACAGGCTGTACAGGAAGCATGGTTCAGAGGCCTCAGGAAATTTACAATCATGGTGGAAAACGAAGGGGAAGCAGGCACGTGTTACCATGGTGGAGCAGGAGAGACAGCAAAGGGGGAAGTGCCACACACTTTTAAACCATCAGATCTCGTGAGAACTCGTGAGCTGAGGTAGGAAGACTGGCAACACAGTGAAACACCATCTCTACAAAATTTTTAAATTGACCAGGCATTGTGGTGCATGCCTATACTTCTAGCTACTTGGGAGGCTGAAGCAAGAGGATTGCTTGAGCCCAGGAATTCAAGGTTACAGTAAGCTATGGTTGTACCACTGCACTACAGCCTGGGCAACAGAGCAAGACCCTGTCTCAAAAAAGCCTAAACATTTCTGTTCAGTGAAGACATCTTAATCAAAGTTAGCAGAGAACAATTTTCTCGAAGAAGATATTTGAAATGAATAAAATTGACAAGGGATTAATATACAGACCAACACTATCCAAGAGAATTGGCTGTGATGATGGAAATGGTGTAGGTCTATGCTGGCCACTGGATAGTTGTGGTTACTGAGCACTTGAAATGGGAGGAGGGTGACTGAGGAGCTAAATTTTTAATTCTATTTAACTTTAATAATAATTATTATTATTGTTTTAGATAGGGTCTCTGTCACACAGGCTGGAGTGCAGTGGTGTGATTACAGCTCACTGCAGCCTTTACCTCCTGGGCTCAGGTGATTCTCCCACCTCAGCCTCCTAAGTAGCTGGAATTACAGGTGTGCCACCACACCTGGCTAATTTTTGTATTTTTAGTAGAGATGGGGTCTTGCCATGTCTCCCACGCTGGTCGTGAACTCCTGAGCTCAAGTGATCCACCTACCTTGGCCTCCCAAAGTGCTGGGATTACAGGTGTGAGCCACCACGCCCAGCCTAATTAATTTCAATAGCCACATAGGACTGGTGGCTAACGTATTAGCACAGATCTAGAATATACAAGTAACTCCTACAAATCAATAAGAAAAGAGAAAACTCAAAATATGAATAGGCAAAAAGAAACAAATGACTTCATCTTAATTTCTTACCTTAATTCTCCTCTTCTTCCTCCACTTCTTTGCTTATTTTATTTTTATTTTGTCGTATGTATTTCTTTCTTTATTTTTATCTATTTATTTATTTATTTTTTTTGAGACAGAGTCTTGCTCTGTCACTAGGCTGGAGTGCTGTGGCGTGATCTCGGCTCACTGCAACTTCCACCTCCCAGGTTCAAGCAATTCTCCTGCCTCAGCCTTCCCAGTAGCTGGGATTACAGGCACGCGCCACCACACCCAGCTAGTTTTTGTATTTTTAGTAGAGATGGGGTTTCACCATGTTAGCCAGGATGGTGTTGATCTCCTAACCTTGTGATCCACCCACCTGGCTCTCCCAAAGTGCTGGGATTACAGGCATGAGCCACCGCGCCCGGCCCCTGTTGTATGCATTTCTATAATCCACCCCAAATCCCTCTTTGGCAGTGAGATGGAGCATAAATATATATAACAACAACCCCCACTCATGGATGGGCTGATCTGACTGAGGCTGGTCTCACTGGATCTTTGAGCTTTTATGAGTCGGGCCGGCACTGGCTGTGGGGAGGAAAGGGGGTCCACATCCTCACATCATGTGCAGAGGCCCTGTCATCATGGCAAACTCTTTATGCAAGTCTGTGGATCAACAGAAATCCCAAAGACTCCTAAGACAGTGAACAAAGGACTCCACTGTTTTTTCAGCCCCACACAGGCTGACACTTAGAGGACATGCTGCATTCTTCTGTGATTTTTACACAACTGAGAAGAAATTTTAACTTTGTTTAAAGCTAATACATCTTTTACCGGGCGTGGTGGCTCACACCTGTAAACCTAGCACTTTGGGAGGCCGAGGCGAGAGGATCACTGAAGCTCAGGAGTTCAAGGCCAGCCTGGGCAACATATTGAGACATTGTCTCTATTTAAAAAATAATAATAAAGCTAATACATCTTTAGTCAAAGAGAAAATGGAAGAAATGACAATTTATTACTTAACTGAACAAGAACAAAATTTCATTTTATTCTTGTCATTGCACCCTCAGAGAAACATAATTGAGGTGGAAGGATCCAGAAGAAAGGAACCAGTGATGATGAGGACAGAGGGCTCTCCACGGGAAGGTGGGAGAGAATTTAGTTCTCTGTGCCGTGAAGATGGGATTGGAGCCATACATGTGAGTGCGTCACACATGTGACTGAGATGTGCAAGTCCCTGAATGATACAAGTGAATGAAGGGGAAATGCAGATAAAACAAATACTGTTTTGTTCAGACAAATGCTTTCAGGAAGAAACTTTGTTTCCTCTATTGGACAACAATAGGTAGTTTCTACTCCAAAGGTATTAAATTTAAGGACATGAAATTGTCAGTTTTGCAGGACAAAAACAGCCAACAAAAATGGCGATTTCACCTGGTTCAACACGGTCCTTAACTAGAAAAGGCATCATAGCCTGCCTGAGACATGAGAAAAGAGGTCACAGTCTCTCATTACAGTGAGGTCTCAGGACCCCGGCCTGGAAAGAAAGGGAATTGGTTAGCACCCAGATCCAGAGTCCACGTTTCAGGGAACCAACAGGCAAGCCTCAAGTCCAAAAGGGTGTAAACAGAGTGGCCAGAACCCAACCTTCAGCACAGCGTCTGCAGTGGAAGGCAGCCACACAGTGAGGAGTACTGAGCAAAGAGCCTTCAGGTGTCTATACCATAAAAGAAAAAAAAATGAGCTAGGAAACCCCCAAACCATCCAGACAATAGACAATAGAGTCCATTGATCTTTAAAACTCCAAGTCCAGTTTTGAGGTTTACATGTACTTTTGTTGAATTGCTTCATCTTTAGACTAAGTGAAGGCAGTTAGGAGAACATGCCCCAGTGTTTTTAGGTAACTCCACAGAAGACAATGCATCTTCCTCAGAGATGTTCCCACACTGACCGTGCAGTAGCTCCATCCAGATGGGTCATAGTGCTCAGAGGTGAGGTGTGGGTGCTCAGAGCTCAGGTTGTGGGTGATCAGAGGTGAGGCAGAAGCCTTGCAGAGGAAGGCAGCTTTGAAAGAAGTGTAGGGGAAAGTGCAGGAGGATCCAATTCTAAACTCCCGTTTGATTGGCTGTGAAATTTCTTCTGTTTTATATTTTGTAATGCAAAATAATGGTGTCTGTTTTTCTTTCAATAAAAATGCATCATAGGCCAGGTACGGTGGCTCAGCCTGTAATCCCAACACTTTAGGAGGCCAAGGCAGGGAGATTGCTTGAGCCCAGGAGTTCAAGACCAGCCTGGGCAACATAGCAAGACCCCCATCTCTATAAAAAATTTTTAAAAAAATTAACTGGACATGGTGGCAAGTGCCTGTAGTCCCAGCTACTTGGGAGGCTGAGGTGGGAGGACGACTTAAGCCCAGAAGTTCAAAGCTGAAGTGGGCCGTGTTTGAGCCGTTGCACTCTAGCCAGGTGACAGAGTGGGACCCTGTCTCAAAAAAAAAAAAAAAAAAATCATAAAGGCATCCAAACCAGAAAGGAAGAAGTAAAATTATGTCTGTTCACAGACATGATCTTATATGTAGAAACCCCTAAAGATTCCACAAACTATTAGAACTAATAAACAAATTCAGCAAAGATGCAGAATATACAGAATATAAAATCAACATATAAAAATCAGTTGCATTATCATACACTAAAATGAACAGTCAGAAGAGGAAACTAAGAAAACAATTCCATTTCTAATAGAATCAAAAAGAATAAAATACTCAGAATTAACCAAGAGGCAAAAGACTTGTACACTGAAAACTACAAAGTGTTTCTGAAAGAAATTAAAGAAGATACAAATAAATGGAAATACAGTACATGTTCTTATATTTAAAGACTGAATATAGTTAAGAAGTCCATACTAACCAGAGCAATCTACACATTTTGTGCAATCCTTGTCAAAATCTCATGGATGTTTCACAGAAATTAAAAAAAAAATTCATCCTAAAATTCGTATGGTATTTCAAAGGATCTTGAATAGCCAAAACAGTCTTGAAAAAGAATAACAAAGTTGGAGGTCTCATATTTCTTGATTTCCAAATTTATTACAAAGCCATAGTACCTTTATGGCATAAAGACACACATATGAATCAGTGGAATTGAATAGAGAGCCCAGAAATAAACCCTCCCTCCCATATATGGTTAAATGATTTTCAACAAGAGTGCCAAGATCATTCAAAGGGGGAGAACAGTCTTTTCCACAAATGATGCTAGGAAAACTGGATAGCCACATGCAAAAAATAATGAATTGGATGCTTTCCTTATACTATATACAAAAATTAACACAAAATCGATCAAAGACCCAAATGTAAGAGCCAAAACTATATAAGCCTGAGAAGAAAACATAGAGGAAAATCTTCTTGATACTGAGTTTGGCAATGATTTCTTGGCTATGACACCAAAAGCACAGGCAACAAAAGTAAAAATAGATAAATTATATCAAAATTAAAAACTTTTGTCTGTCAAAAGACAAAAGTCAACAGAATGAAACAGTCAACAGAATGAAAAGGCAACCTATGGAATGGGAGATAATATTTGCAAATCATACATCTGACAAAGGGTTAGTATCCGGAATATATAATGACCTCCTACAACTCAACAACAACAAAAAGATAACCCAGCTTAGAAATGGGCAATGGACTTGAACAGACAGCTATCCAAATAATGTATGTAAGTGTACAACAAGCATAGTCAAAGATGCTCAACATCACTGATCAATAAAGAAATGCAAATTAAAACCACCGTGAGATACCACCTCATACCCATTAGAATAACTGCTTGCAAAAAAAACCCAGAAAATAGCAAGTGTTGTAGAGAATGCAGAGAAATTCAATTTTTTGTGCCCTGTTGTTGGCAATGTAAAATGGTGCAGCAGTTTTGAACAACGCTATGGCAGCTTCTTAAAAAATTAAATACAGAATTACCATATGATACAGCAACTCCACTTCTGGGTATATAACCAAATAATTGAAAAGATTGCAAAGAGATATTTGTACAATCATGTTCATAGCAGCAATGTTCACAATCGCCAAAAGATGGCAACAACTCACCTGTCTATCGACAGAAGAATGGCTAAGCAAAATGTGGTCTATGCATACAACGGAATATTATTCAGCCTTAAAAAGGAGGACAATTCTGACACGTGCTACAACGTGGATGAACCTTAAGGACATTATGCTAAGTGAAATACGCCAATCCAAAAGGACAAATACCGAATGATCCCATTCATATGACCTCTCTAGAGTAGTCAGCTATAGAAACAGAAGGTGGAATTGTGTTTGCCAGAAGCTGGGGAGAAGGGAAAATGAGGGGTTGTTGTTTAATAGGTATAGTTTCAGTTTTATGAGATAAGTCCTAGAGACTGGTTACCCATTAATGTGGATATACTTAACACTAGAGAACTGTACACTTAAAATTGTTAAAATGGTAAAGTTTTGTCATGTGTATTTTACCGCAATTAAAACTTTTTAAAGCATATATCATGAAGAAATATCCTATTTAGTTCTCAAACATCTTCAAGTGATTTAATAATTGTTTATGGTAACACATGATTTAAATGTTTAACATGAGACTACATTTATATAAAACTTGTACAGTCATTTGACTGAATTTGCCAATCAAGTTAGGTGAACTACTCAATGATTTTCTTGTAGAAACTGCAAAAATCGCCCCCTTGATTTAGACATCCTCATGGTATAATTTACAGATTTGAGTTAGTTGGTGGGAATGTAAATTAATACAGCCACTATGGGGAAAAGTATGGAGGTTCCTCAAAAAAGACTAAAAACAGAACTACCATATGATCCAGCAATCCCACTGCCAGTATATACCCCAAAGAAAGGAAATCAGTATATTGAAGATATATCTGCATTCTCATTTATTGAAGTGTTATTCACAATAGCCAAGATTTGGAAGCAACCTAAGTGTCCATCAACAGACAAATGGATAAAGAAAATGTCGTACACATACACAGTGGAGTACTCTATTCAGCCATAAAAAAGAGTGAGATTCTGTCATTTGCAACACTGTGGATGAAACTGGAGGTCATTATGTTAAATGAAACAAGCCAGGCACAGAAAGACAAACTTGACCTGCTCTCACTCATTTGTGGGAGCTAAAAATTAAAACAATTAAATTCATGGAGATAGTAGAATGATGGTTACCAGAGGCTGGGAAGGAGGAGAGGGAAGATGGTTAATAGCTACAAAAATATGGTTAGATAGAATTAATAAGATCGCATATTTGATAGCACAACAGGGTGACTATAGTTAACAATCATTTATTGTACATATAAAAATATCTAAAGTAGTATTATTGGAATTTTTGTACCACAAAGCAATGATAAATGCTTGACATAATGGCTATGTCATGTTCCCTGATGTGATTATTATGGATTGCATGCCTGTATCAGAATATCTCATGTACCCCATATATATATACACCTACTATGTACCAACAAAAATAAAAAATAAAATACAGTAAAAATATTTGAGGCCAGGTGCAGTGGCTCACACCTGTCATCCCAGCACTTTGGGAGGCCAAGGCAGGTGGATCACTTGAGCTCAGGAGTTCACAACCAGCCTGGGCAATATGGTAAAACTTCATCTGTACAAGAAATACAAAAATTAGCCAGGGGTGGTGGTGCATGCCTGTGGTTCCAACTACTTAGGAGGCTGAGGTGGGAAGATGGCTTGAGCCCTGGAGGAAGAGGTTTTAATGAGCCATGATCACGCCATTGCACTCCAGCCTAAGGAATAGAGTGAGACCCTGTCTAAAATAAATAAAGATTTGTGTTAGAATAAAATTCAAACCAGCTTCAGCCACCAAACTGTGGTTTTCAGCAAGTCTCTTCACGTCCATAAATCTCAGTTTCCTCATCTGTAGTGTGGATTGCTTTGAAAATTGAGTGAAAATATGAGTGTCTGTTTTCTTCTTACATCAGATTCATCCACTTTCCCCTCCCTTTCTTATGCTTGCTCAGGATATTGGGTTCCATGATGTAATCCCAAAGTACAGAGGAAAAAGTGAGCCAGACTCTTCATCATAGGCCCATTCCTGAGCACAAAGCAATTCTGATAGAATCTTCCAGAGGAGAAGCAAAGAAGTGAGGCCAAGAGCAGGCAGGTGGGGCAGCAACCGCAGGGCCTTCCCTGGCCCTGCAGCCCACTGGGACCCCAGCCAGCCACTTCTGGTGGGCTCTGTTCAAGGTTCTCCACCTTCCTCCAGATCTGGGTTGTAATAGTAATTATGGTGACCTTCATTTTCAAAGCCTGAGCTACAAGGCCCTGGAGGTCATGGCAAGGTGAGAAAGGGAAAGTCTTGCCCCTCTTTCCAGGTCTTTCCTGAAACTCAAGGGGAGAATTATGCTTTAAAGTTACTTTAGAGCAGTAGTTTTAATGTGCTTAGTTTTCCTTTGCCTATGGGAAGCAAATTTCTTCTAAGAAATCTTGAAATATTTTTGCTCATCTTGGTATTTTTGAATACAATGATTTTCTTTGTTTTGCTTTTTTTTTTTTTTCTTTCTTTCTTTTTTAGATGGAGTTTCATTCTTGTTGCCCAGGCTGGACTGCAATGGCACGATCTTAGCTCACTACCACCTCCACCTCCCGGCTTCAAGCGATTCTCCTGTCTCAGCCTCTGGAGTAGCTGGGATTACAGGTGTGCGCCACCATGCCTGGCTAATTTTTGTATTTTTTTTTTTTTTTTCAGTAAAGACAGGGTTTCACCATGTTGGCCAGGCTGGTCTTGAACTCCTGACCTCAGGTGATCTGCTCACCTCAGTCTCCCAAAATATTGCGATTATAGGCATGAGCCACTGTGCCCAGCCTGGATACAATGATTTTCTTTAGCATACAATGCAGTGTAATGACATAGAGGTTGTTGATGCTCAGAGATTCAATAACCCACTCATAATGTAGTAACTTTCCCCAGCCGCCTGTTATTTGCCTGGAGATAAAAATAGGTAGAGATTTCAACGTCAGAGCAAAGAGCCACTTATTGTATCTATTTAGTGTGTTATAATTAAAACTGTTGTGAATTCTGCAGCTTCATTTTGCAGAGGTTGAGAAAACCTTTTTTCAGTTTGGTTCAAGTAAATTCACACTCCCGAATCCCGTTTTGTGTTTTAGGATCTATAAAAAATGAACCTAACATTAAAAACAAAATGCAACCACACCATTGTGATATGCCTGGCCCTGTGTAGAAACTGAAGGGGTGTGTGCGAAGCCCAGCAAATATCCAAATGACACATTCATAAGCTCAGCTGAAGCTTTGTAAGTAAATTCTAAACCAAGGATGTTGTTATTCACACATGCTTTTCTTCTCAACTTTCGATTGAGGTCAGCTCCCTGACCCCATCATCAACTCTACTCTCACCTTTGAGATTGAGTTCTTTTTTGATCAATTCAACTATTGTAAGAAAAAAGAGAAAAAAAACATTGCCAGTGAGAGAGGTCACTAAAGGGGATTCAGTCTATTTACCACCCAGAGTGTTTGGAGCTGGCTGGAGCCTTAGAGACGATGGGGACATTTGCCCTTGGGGTGCCCTAGAAGAGCAGCTCAATCTCCATCTTGAGGAATCTTCCATTGGGCAACAGGGAGGACCTCCTTTTCTCTCTTCCCCAGTGTAGTCCAGAGGTCAGCCCATTTGCTCCGAGGCACTGACTCTTGAGGACATGCTAAAAGGAACTGGGCACAGTCGGAGGTCATATGGCTGTAGCAGTCTCGGCCACCACAGTAGGTCCTGCGGGGGCTCTTCCTGCCTCTCTCCTGTGTCCTGACCTCCCAGAGCTTCCTGGTCCTGCTGCTCCTGAGGGTAGAGTCAACACTTGGCATGCATCTGTGGGTATGAATGCCTCCAGCCAGAGTATCTGGTGGTTTGGGAGAAAATAACCTTGATGTTTAAATAAAACCAATGCAATTGTCCCATAGACAGTTTTTTTTTCTTTTGATAAACATAGAAATTCACCCTTCTAGTCTTAAAGCTTGAAACTTATATTTGTTTTATCCGAGTTCCTTCCTCAGGAAAGGAGCTTCAGATCTCAAAAAAAGTACCAAAGAACTGAAATTCACCAGACCGTCACATCAGACAATAAGATGTGGGACCCCTCATTCACCATGATTGCTTCCTTGCCCCTCCCTAGTTCCCGTTTTCTTACACACGGTTACATTGCTTCCCTGCCATATAAACCCCTAGTTTTAGTTAGTCAGGGAGATGCATTTGAGACTGAGTTCCCATCTCCTCTGCTGCAGAACCCGACTAAAGCCTTCGTCCTTGGCAATACTCATCGTCTCAGTCATTGGCTTTCTGTTCTGTGAGCCGCAGGACCCAGACCAAACTCCCGGTGTTTCGGTAACAGAAACAAACTTGGGGTTGGATTCCAGTTCTGCCTCTTACAGGATATGTGTCCTTAAACAAGACTTTCCCCTCCATGTCTCCTTTTCCTCATCTGTGCAGTGGGCACAGAGGCCTTGCCTGGCGTATTTACTCTCAATGAAACCTGAATGTGGGAGCACCGTTTGTACTGTAAAATGCTACACATCGGAGAACTGATTTTACCGTTGTAAACCAAAAGCCTTCAAGCCACACCAGACTTGGATTTGAAATGGCTTCACTGACTTGTCACCTCACCCTAGACTGCTAATAGTGACATCACCCATCTTTCCTCTGCCTGAAAGGACAGCAGTCGTGCAGACTTCAGGATTGGCTTAATCCAGGCGCTCCAGTTTCTTCCGGGCCATCCCTCAAGTGTCTGCCCCATCTTTACTTCTCCCCATAGTGGTGTCCAGAGGAGGCAAAAGAGACTTCTTCCACAGCTCTCTCAGGAGAAAAAAAAAAATTCCCTGGAAAGCCCAGCAAAATTCTCAGCATGTCCATTGGCCTGAGTTGGGTTTCATGCCCCTTTCTGAACTGACCTCTGGCAAAGAGAATGGGTCACCCTTTGACCAGCTACTCCCAGATCTGGGGGTGGAATCCACTTCCCCTGAGTCACATGGATTCCATGAAGTGTGTTTGTGGGTAGGTAGGGGAAAGGGTATGGTGCTGAAGAACTGCACAAAATCGGAGTTCTCTTAGAAAGGAAGCAGTGGTGAAGAGATAACATATGCACATAGAAGAGTCTGGGTGAACACATGTATGTTCAGTGTATGACCTGTTTTTGTTAAAAAAGGGGGGGATGAGATAGGGAAATATACAAATATACAAGGGAAATATACAAATATGTTATAAATACAAATATACATATTTGTGTATGCAAAAAATATATTTGGAAGGATAAACAAAGAACCTGTTCATGTGGCTTTCTCATGGGCAGGACCCAGATATCTGGAGACAGGGATGAGAGAGAAACTTTTCACTCTACACTCATTTATATTGCTTCAATTTTGAACCATGGGAATATATTGCTAATTCAAAATAATTAATAAGTCAATTTTTTTTTTTGAGATGGAGTCTTGCTCTGTCACCCAGGCTGGAGTGCAGTGATGCAATCTCGGCTCACTGCAACCTCCGCCTCCTGGGTTCAAGCTATTCTCCTGCGTCAGCCTCCCGAGTAGCTGGGATTACCGCCCCGACTAGCTAATTTTTGTATTTGTAGTAGAGATGGGGTTTCACCATATTAGCCAGGCTGGTCTCGAACTCCTGACCTTGTGATCTGCCCACCTTGGCCTCCCAAAGTGCTGGGATTATAGGTGTGAGCCACCGCACCTGGCCAATAAGTCTATTTTTTTTAAGTGGAATTCAGAAGCATGAAAGTGTGATGGAACATAATCTGGACCCTCTTAAGGACTTTGTCGAGAATAAGGTGAAGCTATGCTTCCTTATTCATCCTAGGGCCCAGTGGATAACTGTTAACCGTAATATTTACACACACACACACACACACACACACACACACACACACACCCCAAACATTAATTTTCAAAGGCAATGCAGTCTGAATTCATGCTTAAGAAGGGAAATCATCTAACTGGTTCATAATCTGAACTACAGTCTCTGCTTCCAACGGGAGAATCATTTTTTTTTTTCATTCCAAACCTCTAAAACCCAGTGATCCTCAACCAAGGGTGATTTCACTCCCAAGGGACATTTGACAATATCTGAAAACACTTTTGGTTGTCAGAACTTGGGGCATTTAGTGGATCAAGATCAGGAATGCTGCTAAACATCCTACAATGGACAGCACAGCCCCCTCAACAAAGAATTATCCAGCCCAAAATGTCAATAGTGCCAGTGTTGAGAAATCCTGCTTTAAGACAAAAAGTACCAGAAAACAGCACAGGAATCAAGCTTTCAGTGGCCACCATTTAGTAAAATGCCTGTCTTTGAAATGGTCACTTGCCTTACTCTCCGCTAGCTAAAATTCTTATGCATGAAAAAGGAAGAAACGTGGAAAGTGATGCTATCCTGGAACATGAGATGCCCCAGGACTTAATGAAGTAAAGACATCAGCCTCCCAGTCAGAGAGAGGTTTGCTTCATTCACTTTCAGGGAACGTGGCAGCCATCCAACTATGAGGCCAAGCTCTTCCTTCTTAGCACTCTACTCGTGAGCAGTTGGATGTTTTCTTTAGATTAATGTTCCAAAGTGCCAAGCATTTCTCTAAAGTGTATAAATATATCAGATCCTCACACCAGCATTTTGAGGTAAAAACATACTTATCTCCACTTCCCAGGTAAGGCTCTTAGCTTGCCACAGTCACATACCTCAGAAGTTGCTGAGCTATTATCTGATCCCTGGCATCGGGCTCCATACTCCGAGGGCTCTACAGCCTCCATATACTCAAGCCATAATACACCTCCATGTACTTTGGTGAGAACAATAAATTACTAAGTGTAGATATTGCAAAATTGTCCTCCAACAGGATTACTCTGATATATTTTCCAATGAATGATCCATGGGAGTGACTGTTTTACACATCCTCATCAACATTGTGTATCACCAGTTTTTAAATCTTGTAGTCAGCCATTAGTTCTGTTTTTCATTTCCTCAGAATGAGGTTGTGCATGTTTTCATGTGTTTATTTGCTCTTAGTATTTCTTTTTTCCGTGAGATGCTTATCCTATTTTTTACTGCTGTTGATTGTTTCAGATTGATGACTTCTTTGTTTACTAGGAACACTTAACCATTGTTCATCATGTATCACAAATATTTTGCTCAAATTATTTTTTATTTTTTTATTGTACTTTTCTTTTTCTGAGTAAAGGATCTTAATTTTTACATCTTCAGATTTATCAGTCTTTTCCTACTTGGCTTCTTGAGTCTGATGTCATCTTCAGAAAGTTTTTTCCTATAAAAGATAATAGAGAGATTTGGCAAGATGGCTGAATAGGAATAGCTGAGGTACCCACTTCATCTCATTGAGACTGTTTAGGCAGTGGGTGCAGCCCACAGAGGGTGAGCAGAATCAGGGTGGGGCATCACCTCCCCCAGGAAGTGCAAGCAGCCGGGGACCTCCCTCCCCAGCCAAGGGAAGCTGTGAGGGACTGTGCTATCCAGCCCAGGTACTATGCTTTTCCCACGGTCTTTGCAATCCACAGAACAGGAGATTCCCTCATGTGCCTACACTACCAGGGCCCTGGGTTTCAAGCACAAAACTGGATGGTTGTTAGGGCAGACACAGAGCTAGCTGCAGGAGTTTTTTTGTTGTTGTTGTTTTCCATACCCCAGTGGTGCCTGGAACCCCAGAGAGACAGAACCGTTCACTCCTCCAGAAAGGGGCCTGAAGCTAGGAAGCCAAGAGGTCTTGCTCAGCAGCTCCCACCCCCACGGACCCCAGCAAGCTAAGAACCACTGGCTTGAAATTCTTGCTGCCAGCACAGCAGTCTGAAGTTGACCTGGGATGATTGAGCTTGGTAGAGGGTGGGGCATCCACCATTACTGAGGTTTGAGTAGGCAGTTTTCCCCTGACAGTGCTAAGGAGGCCAGGAAGTTTGGACTGGGCAGAACTCACCACAGTATGGCAAAGCAGCTGTGGCCAGACTGCTTCTCTAGATTCCTCCTCACTGGGCAGGGCATCTCTGAAAGAAAGGCAGCAGCCCCAGCCAGGGGGCTATAGATAAAGCTCCCATCTCCCTGGTACAGAGCACCTGGGGGAAGGGGCGGCTGTCAGGGGCACAGCTTCAGTGGACTTAAACGTTCCTGCCTGCTGGCTCTGATGAGAGCAGCAGATCCTGACAAGGAGGATTCTCCCAGCACAGTGCTCAAGCTCTACTAAAGAACAGACTGCCTCCTCAAGTGGGTCCCTGACCCCTGTGTATTCTGACTGGGAGACACCTCCCAGTAGAGGCTGACAGACACCACATACAGGAGAGCTCCGGCTGGCATCAGGCTGGTGCCCCTCTGGGACGAAGCTTCCAGAGGAAGGAGCAGGCAGCAATCTTTGCTGTTCTGCAGCCTCCACTGGTGATACCCAGGCAAACAGGGTCTGGAGTAGACCTCCAGCAAACTGCAGCAGACCTGCAGAAGAGGGGCCTGTTAGAAGAGAAAAACTAACAATCAGAAAGCAACAACATCAACATCAACAAAAAGAAGCTGCACACAGAAACCCCATCCAAAGGTCATCAGCCTCAAAGATTAAAGACTATCATTTTTTTATTGTGTCTACTTGATTTTTCTCTCTTTTCTTCTTTATTAGTCTAGCTAGTGGTCCATCTATTTTGTTAATCTTTTCAAAAAATCAGCTCCTGGAGTAATTGATTTTTTGAAGGGTTTTTCATGTCTCTATTTCTTTAGCTCTGCTCTGATCTTAGTTATTTCTTGTCTTTTGCTAGCTTTTGAATTTGTTTGCTCTTGCCTCTCTAGTTCTTTTAATTGTGATGTTAGGGTGTCAGTTTTAGATCTTTCCAGCTTTCTCTTGTGGGCATTTAGTGGTATAAATTTCTCTCTTAATACTGCTTTAGCTGTGTCCCAGAGATTCTGGTACTTTGTCTCTTTGTTCCCATTGGTTTCAAAGAACTTCTTTACTTCTCCCTTAACTTAATTATTTACCCAGTAGTCATTCAGGAGCAGGTTGTTCAATTTCCATGTAGTTGTGCCATTTTGAGTGAGTTTCTTAATTCTGAATTCTAATTTGATTGCATTGTGGTATGAGAGACTGTTTGTTATGATTTCCATTCTTTTGCATTTGCTGAGGAGTGTTTTACTTCCAATTATGTAGTCGATTTTAGAAAACATGTTATGTGCAGCTGAGAAAATTTATACTCTGTTGATTTGGGGTGGAGAGTTCTGTAGATGTTGATTAGGTCTGCTTGGTCCAGATCTGAGTTCAAGTCCTGAATATCCTTGTTAATTTTCTGTCTCATTGATCTGTCTAATATTGACAGTGGGGTGTTAAAGTCTCCCACTATTACTATTTGGGGGTCTAAGTCTCTTTATAGGTCTTTAGGAACTTGTTTTATGAATCTGGGTGCTCCTATATTGAGCACACATATATTTAGGATAGTAAGCTCTTCTTGTTGCATTGATCCTTTTACCATTATGTAATGCCCTTCTTTGTCTTTTTTTATCTTGGTTGGTTTAAAGTCTGTTTTATCAGAGACTAGGATTGCAACCCCTGCTTTTTTTTTCCTTTCCATTTGCTTGGTAAATATTCCCCCATCCCTTTATTTTGAACCTATGCGTGTCTTTGCATGTGAAATGGGTCTCCTGAATACAGCACACCGATGGGTCTTGACTCTTTATCCAGCTTGCCAGTCTGTGTCTTTTAATTGGGACATTTAGCCCATTTACATTTAAGGTTAATATTGTTATGTGTGCATTTGATCCTGTCATTATGATGCTAGCTGGTTATTTCACACATTAGTTGATGCAGTTTCTTCATAGTGTCATTGGTTTTATATTTGGTGTGTTTTTGCAGTGGCTGGTACTAGTTTTTCCTTTCTATATTTAGTGCTTCCTTCAGGAGCTCTTGTAAGGCAGGCCTGGTGGTGACAAAATCCCTCAGCATTTGCTTGTCTGTAAAGGATTTTATTTCTCCTTCACTTATGAAGCTTAGTTTGGCTGACTATTAAATTAAATGCTGGGTTGAAAATTCTTTTCTTTAAGAGTGTTGAATATTGGCCCCCACTCTTTTCTGGCTTGTAGGGTTTCTGCAGAAAGATCCACTGTTAGTCTGATGGGCTTAACTTTGTAGGTAACTTGACCTTTCTTTCTGGCTGCCCTTAACATTTTTTCCTTAGTTTGAACCTTGGAGAACCTGATGATTATGTGTCTTGGGGTTGCACTTCTTGAGGAGTATCCTCAATACTTCTCTGTATTTCCTGAATTTAAATGTTGGCCTGTCTTGCTAGGTTGGGTAAGTTCTCCTGAAGTGTGTTTTCCAATGTGGTTCCATTCTCCCCATCACTTTCAGGGACCCCCAATCAATACTAGTCTATTCGGTCTTTTCACATTGTCCCATATTTCTTGGAGGCTTTGTTCATTCCTTTTCATTCTTCATTCTCTAATCTTGTCTTCATGACTATTTCACTAAGTTGATCTTTGATTTCTGAATCCTTTCTTCTGCTTGATCAATTTGGCTATTGATATTTGTGTATGCTTCATGAAGTTCTTGTGCTGTGTTTTTCGGCTCCATCAGGTCATTTATCCTCCTCTCTAAACTGGCTATTCTAGTTAGCAGTTCCTGTAGCCTTTTGTCAAGGTTCTCAGCTTCCTTGCATTGGGTTAGAACATGCTCCTTTAGCTCAGAGGTGTTTGTTATTACCCACCTTCTGAAGCCTACTTCTGTCAATTCATCAATGTCATTCTCCATCCAGTTTTGTGCCCTTGTTGGAGAGGAGTTGCAGTCATTTGGAGGAGAAGAGGCATTCTGGTTTTTGGAATTTTCAGCTTTTTTGTGCTGTTTTTCCCTCATCTTCATGGATTTATCTATAAATTTTATTGTGTCAAATAGACACAATAAAAAATGATAAAGAGGATATCACTACTGATCCCACAAAAATACAAACTATCATCAGAGAATACTATAAACACTTCTACACAAATAAACTAGAAAATCTAGAAGAAATGGATAAATTCCTGGACACATACACCCTCCCAAGACTAAACCAGGAAGAAGTCGAATCCCTGAATAAACCAATAACAAGTTCTGAAATTGAAGCAGTACTTAATAGCCTACCAACCAAAAAAAGCCCAGGAGATGGATTCACTGCCGAATTCTACCAGAGGTACAAAGAGGAGCTAGTACCATTCCTTCTGAAACTATTCCAAACAATCAAAAAAGAGGGAATCCTCCTAACTTATTTTATGAGGCCAGCATCATCCTGATACCAAACGCTGTCAGAAACACAACAAAAAAAACAAAATTTCAGGCCAATATCCCTGATGAACATCAATGAGAAAATCCTTAATAAAACACTGGCAAAAAAATCCAACAGCACATCAAAAATCTTATCCACCACAATCAAGTCAGCTTCATCCCTGGGATGCAAGGCTGGTTCAACATATGCAAATTCTTACAACTTATACAAAAATTAACTCAAGATGGATTAAAGACTTAAATGTAAAACCCCAAACCATAAAAACCCTAGAAGAAAACCTAGGCAATACCATTCAGGACATAGGCATGGGCAAAGACTTCATGACTAAAACACCAAAAGCAATTGCACAAAAGCCAAAATTGACAAATGGGATCTAATCAAACTAAAGAGTTTCTGCACAGTGAAAGAAACTATCATCAGAGTGAACAGGCAACCTACAGAATGGGAGAAAATTTTTGCAAACTACCCATCTGACAAAGGTCCAATACCCAGAATCTACAAGGAATTTAAACAAATGTATAAGAAAAAAACAAACAATCCCATCAAAAAGTAAGCAAAGGATATGTACAGACAGTTCTCTAAAGAAGAAGACATTTATGCAGCTAACAAACATATGAAAAAAACTCATCATCACTAGTCATTAGAGAAATGCAAATCTTTTGCTATCATCAAGTTTTGATGCAAATCTTTTTGATACCATCAAATTTGATGCCACAATGAGATACCATCTCATGCCAGTTAGAATGGTGATTATTAAAAATTCAGGAAACAACAGATGCTGGAGAGGATGTGGAGAAATAGGAAACCTTTTGCACTGTTGGTGAGAGTGTAAATTAGTTCAACCACTGTGGAAGACAGTGTGGCAATTCCATGAGGATCTAGAACGAGAAATACCATTTGACCCAGCAGTCACATTACTGGATATTTACCCAAAGGAATATAAATCATTCTACTATAAAGACACATGCACACGTATGTTTATTGCAGCACTATTTACAATTGCAAAGACATGGAACCAACCCAAATGCCCATCAATGATAGACTGGATAAAGAAAATCTGGCACATACACACCATGGACTATCATGCAGCCATGAAGAAGAATGAGTTCATGTCCTTTGCAGGTACATGCATGCAGCTGGAAACCATCATTCTCAGCAAACTAGCACAGGAACAGAAAACCAAACACTGCATGTTCTCACTCATAAATGGGAGTTGAACAATGAGAACACATGGACAGAGGGAAGGGAGCATCACACACCGGGACCTGTCGGGGGCGGCGGGGAAGAGGAGAGAGAGCATTAGGAGAAATACCTAATGCATGCGGGGCCTAAAACTTAGATGAGGGGTTGATAGGTGCAGCAAACTACCATGGCACATGCGTACCTATGTAACAAATCTGCACGTTCTCCACATGTATCTGAGAACTTAAATAAATTTTTAAAAAATTCCCAAAACTCACTAGAAAGGTTAACATTAGAATTCAGGAAATGCACAGAATTCCTGTGAGATAGTATACAAGTCAATCATCCCCAAATCACATAGTCAACAGATTCTCCAAGATCAATATGAAAGAAAAAATATTAAAAGCAGCTAGAGAAAAGGGGCAGGACACCTGCAAAGGGAACCCCATCAGGTTGACAGTGGGCCTTTCAGCAGAAACCCTTAAGCCAGAAGAGATTGGGGTCCTATATTTGGCATTCTTAAAGAAAAGAAGTTCCAACGAAGAATTTCATATCCAGCCAGACTAAGCTTCATGAGTGAAGGAGAAATAAGATCCTTTGTAGACAAGCAAATGCTAAGGGAATTCATTGCCACCAGACCTGCCTTACAAGAGGCCCTTAAGGGAGTGCGAAACATGGAAATGAAACACTGTTACTGGCCACCACAAAAACACACTTAAGTACATAGACCATTGATGCTATAAAACAACTATACAATCAACCAGCTAACAACACAACAGCAGGATCAAATCGCACATATCAATATTAACCTTGAATGTAAATAGGCTAAATCCTCCACTTAAAAGACACAGAGTGGCAAAATGGATAAAGAAACAAGACCTAACTTTATGCTGTCTTCAGAGGATCCACCTCACATGCAATGAGACCCATAGGCTTAAAGTAAAGGGATAGAGAAAAACCTACCAAGTAAATGGAAAGAAAAAAGAGCAGGGGTTCCTTTTCTAATTTTAGACAACACAGATTTTAAATCAATAACAATAAAATAAGACAAAGATAGGCATTACTTAATGATAAAGGGTTTAATTTCCACAAGACTTTACTATCCTAAATACACATGCATCCAACACTGGAGCACTGGATTCATAAAACAAGCTCTTAGAGACCTATTTTGTTAGATAACCTCACAAAAATAGTGGAAGACTTCAACACTCCACTGACAGTATTAGATCATCAAGGCAGAAAACTGACAAAGATTTTCAAGACCTGAACTCGACACTTGACCAAATGGGCCTAACAGACATCTACGGAACACTCCAGCCAACAACAGACTATACATTACATTCTTCTCATCTGCAGGTGGCACATACTGAAAAACCAACCACACGCTCGACCATAAAACAATGCTCAACAAATTCATAAAACACAAAATCATACCAACCACACTCTCAGACCACAGCACAATAAAAATAGAAATCAATACTTAGAAGATTGCTCAAAACTATACAATTACATGGAAATTAAACAATCTACTCCTGAATGACTTTGGGTAAACAATGAAATTAAGGCAGAAATCAAGAAATTCTTGGAAACGAATGAAGACAGAGATACAACATACTAGAATCTCTGGGAAACAGCTAATGCAGTGTGAAGAAGAAACTTTATAGTGCTAAGTGCCCACATCAAAAAGTTAGAAAGACCTCAAATGAACAACTTAACACACCTAGAGGAACTAGAAAAACAAGAGCAAACTAACCGTAAAGCTAGCAGAAGAAAAGAAAACAAAAATCAAAGCCAAACTGAAAGAAATTGAGACACAATAAAACACACAAAAGGTCAACGATACCAAAAGTTGGTTTTTTTGCAAGAATAAATAAGATCGATAGACCACTAGCCTAAACTAATAAAGGAAAGAAGAGAAAAGATCCAAATAAACACAGTCAGAAATGACAAAGGGGACATTACCACACAAACTAGAAAACCTAGAAAAATGGATAAATTTCTCGGAAACAACTTCCCAAGATTTAATCCAGAAGAAATTAAAACCAGAACAGATCAGTAACAAGTTCTGAAACTGAATCAGTAATAAAAAGCCTACCAACCAGAGAGGGTCCTGGGCCAGAAAGATTCTACCAGATGTATAAAGAAGAGCTGGTACCAATTCTACTAAAACTATTCCAAAAAATTGAGGAGGAGAGACACCTCCTTAGCTCATTCTATGAAGCTGGCATCATTCCGATACCAAAACCTGGTGGAGGCACAACAAAAAGGGGAAACTTCAGGCCAATATCCCTGATGAACATAGATGCAAAATCCCTCAATAAAATAATGGTAAACTGAATTCAGCAGCACATCAAAAAACAAATCCAGCACTATAAAGTAGGCTTTATCCCTGGGATGCAAGTTTGGTTCAACATACACAAATCAATAAATGTAATTCATTACATAAACAGAACTAAAGACAAAAACCACATGATCATCTCAATAGATGCAGAAAAGTCTTTTGACAAAATTAAACCTCCCTTCATGTTAAAAGCCCTCAACAAACTAGGCATTGAAGGAACATACCTCAAAATAGTAAGAGCTGTCTATGACAAACCCACAGCCAACATCATACTGAATGGGCCAAAGCTGCAAGCCTTCCCCTTGGGAACCAGAACGAGACAAGGATGCCCACTCCCACCACTCCTATTCAACATAGTACTGAAATTCCTAGCCAGAGCAATCAGGCAAGAGAAAGAAATAAAAAGCATCCATACAGCAAAAGAGGTAGTCAAACCATCTCTCCTTGCAAACAATATGATTTTATACTTAGCAAACCCCATAGTCTTCGCCCCAAAGCTCCCAGAACTGATAAACTACTTCACCAAAGTTTAAGGATATAAAATCAATGTATAAATATCAGTAGCATTTCTTTACACCAGTAACACCAAATCAAGAATGCAATGCCATTTACAATAGACACACAAAAAGTAAAATACCTCAGAATACAGCTAACCACAGAGGTGAAAGGTCTCTACAATAATAATTACTGAATTACTGAATAATTGCTGAAAGAAATCAGAGATGACACAAACAAATAGAAAAACATGCCATGCTCAAGGATAGGAAGAATAAATATTGTCAAAATTGTCATATTGCCCAAAGCAATTTGCAGACTCAATGCTATTCCTATCAAACTACCAATGACATTATTCACAGAATTATACAAAACTATTTAAAAACTCATATGGAACCAAAATGAGCCCGAATAGCCAAAGCAATCCTAAGCAAAAAGAACAAAGCTGGAGGCATCCTATTACCTGACTTCACACTTTACTACAAGGTTGTAGAAACCAAAACACCATGATACTGGTACAAAAATAGACTCGAAGAAAAAAAGAGCAGAACAAAGGACCCAGAGATAAAGCGGCACAGCTACAACCGTCTGATCTTTAACAAAATTAGCAAAAACAAGTAATAGGGAAAGGACTCCCTATTCAATAAATGATGCTGGGATAACTGGTTAGGCATAGGCAAAAGATTGAAACTGGACTCCTTCCTTTCACCATACACAAAAATCAACTCAAGATGAATTAAAAATTTGAATGAAAAACCTAAAAATATAAAATCCCTGGAAGAAAACCTGAGATATACCATTGTGGACATAGGCCCTGGCTAAGATTTCATGACAAAGATGCCAAAAGCAATTGAAACAAAACCAAAAATAGACAAATGGGGACCTAATTAAACTAAAGAGCATCCTGCAGCAAAAGAAACTATCAACAGAGTAAATAGTGGGAGAAAATATTTGCAAATTATGCATCTGGGAAAGGTCTAATATCCAGATTCTGTAGGGAACTTAAATTAGGCAGAAAACAAAAAACTCCGTTAAAAAATTGGCAAAGGACATGAATAGACATTTCTCAAAAGAAGATATCTATGTGGCCAACTAGTATATTAAAAAAAGAAGACAATCCTAATTATAATGGCACCAAAAAGATAAAATATTAGGAATAACCCTAACCAAAGAGGTGAAAGACTGCACACTGAAATCTATGAAGCAATGATTAAAGAAATTAAGACAGATACAAATAAATGGGAAGACATCTCTTGTTCATGGATTAGAAGACTTAATATTGGTAAGATGTCCATACTACTCAAAGCAATCTACAGATTCAGTGCAAGCCCTATCAAAATACGGTAAACATTTTTTTACAGAAAGAGGAAAAAAATCTCAAAAAATATAGAACCACAAGAAATCCCAAATAGCTGAAGCAATATTAAGCAAGAAGAACACAGCTGGAGGCATCGTACTTACTGATTTCAAAATATATTATAAAGCTACAGTAATCAGTGTTGTACTGGAATAAAAATCAGGCAGACAGACCAATGGAACAGAATAGAGAGCCTAGAAATAAATCCACACATCTATGGTCAACTGATCTTTGACAAGTGTGCCAAGAACCCACAATGCAGAAAAAGATAGTCTCCTCAATAAGTGGTACCAGGAAAAGTGAATAGCAACATGCAGAATAATGAAATTGGACCTTATCTCACACCATATATGAGAATCAACTCAAAATAGATTAAAGATTTAAACGTAAGACCTGAAACTGTAAAACTACTAGAATAAACCCAAGGAAAAGCTTTTGGACATTGTTCAGGGCAATAATCTTCTTGGATATGACATCAAAAGCACAAGCAACAAAAGCAAAAATAGAAAAGTTTGATTACATCAAACTAAACAGCTTTTTCACAGCAAAGGAGACAATCCGCGGGGTGAAAAGCAACCCCGCAGAATGGGAGAAAATATTTATGCATTCCTGTGTTCACTGCAGCATTATTTACAATAGCCAAGATGTAGAAACAACCCAAATGTTCATAGACAGCTGAATGGATAAAGAAAATGTGACATAGACATACAACACAACGTTACTCAACCTTTAAAAAGAAGGAAATCTTACCATTTGTCACAACGTGGAAGGACCCGGAAGACATGACGCTAAGTGAAATAATTCAGTCACAGAGAGAGAAATACTAATGATTCCTCTAATATGAGCATCTAAAATAGTCAAAGGTGTTGAATTAGACAACAGAACGAGGGTTACCTGGGGATGGCATGAAGGAGAAAAAAGGAGTTGTTATCCAGTGGGTATAAAGTTATAGTTAAACAAGATCGGTGAGTTCCAGAGATCTGCTGTACAATAGACTGTCCATAGCTAACAACAAGATATTGTGTCGTAAAAACAATTGTTAACAGGGTAGATCTCATGTTAAGTGTTCTTATGAAGAAAAAAAAGAGGGGACACGGGGAAAGTTGCAGATACGTGTATTACCTGGATTACAGCAATAGCAACATGAATATATACATATGTCCAGAATCATCAAATTGTATGCATAAATTTATATGCAGTTTTTTGGGGGAGATTTTTGTTTTGGATTTTTTTGTTTTTAGAGACAGTGTCTCTCTCTGTCACCTAGGCTGGACTGCAGTGGTTTGATCATAGCTTACTGCAGCCTCAAATGCCTGGTCTCAAGCAATCTTCCTGCCTCAATCTCCTCAGTAGCTGGGACTACAGGCGCGTGCCATCACACCCAGCTAATTTATCTTGAAATTTTTTTAATAAAGACAGGATCTCACTATGCTACCCACACTGGTCACAAACTCCAAGCCTCAAGCAATCCTCCTGCCTCGGCCTCCCAAATTGCTGGGATTACAGGCATGAGCCCTCATGCCAGGCCATATGCAGTTTTTTTAATGCCAATTATATCTCAACAAAGTTGGAAAAACAACAACAACAAATAACCTTCAAATCAGTAAGCGCCAAGCCCAGATGGGTTCGTTAGT